>NC_000013.11:69317196-69468712 GCF_000001405.40 Homo sapiens
TGGACATTGAATCAGAAGGACTGTGGTTGAATTTCCATTTACCACTTACTGAATGAGTAGTGTTAAAATTAACCTTTTGAATATCTGCTTTCTCCACTGTACAGGGAATTTTAAAATAACAAAATCTGCAAATACCTTATTTTTAAAAAAGCGAATGTGTTAAAATTTGGATGATCCTTTCAGTTGGACAAATGTAAAATATTATTTTCAATGGTAACTGACATTTTAGCAATACCCAAGGGCACATTTAGAAGAATGAAAAGTAGCAGCATTTACCATTGATTTTGAGAGGTATAAGATATTATATTCGATTCAACTTTTTATTTTATAAAAATGAAGAACTCATTGCCAAAGAGATAAATGTATCCGAGATCTCAAAAATAGAAATTTGGGGTAAAGTTTCTTGAATCTGGTCTGTATTTTGTTTTCAAAAATAAATCATTCAGGATTTACTAAGCAGATACGTTCTGAAAATGTGCTGACAGGAAGGAAGGAGATGAGATCTGTTTCTAAATGGGCACAATACTATTTTAGAAAATCTTGCCAAATATGAAATACCAAATAAAGAGACTAGAGTCGTTTTCCAGTTTTGCCTTTGAATTTGTAAATATGGAGAAGGAGCCAATTCATTTTACTCCATTTTCTTTGTTTGTAAAATGGATAGGACACAGTCATCTATAATGTCCTCCAGCTCAGTGAGTCAGCTTCAGAGCCTTCCCCACTGCTTATAGTAAGCAAAACTTAAGAATTTGACCTTATAGTAAAGAACAAGTAAGAACAAGTAGTTTATTCCTGTTTCAACCAGGTACTCTCTTGACCTTTGAATGATTACTTGATTTAAATATTCTATCCTACAAAATGGAGTTACAAATGTGCCCATTTTGCAGAGTTGCTCTGAGGATTAATGACTCACTTTGCACATACAAAGCACTCAGTCAATATAAGCTTTTATAATTTATTATAATGATTGTTTTCATTAGCTGATGTGGAAACAAGACCACTCATTAACTCATAATAATCAACTCCTATAAAGTATCTTTAAACACTGTCCTCAAAAGAGTTATGTTACAATTGTGTTGAATTATCTTGTTTGTTTGCTTTATGAATTTTCTTACCTCTCCTTTACTTGGCCTTGAATATGTCCAGCCTCTTACAAGGCCACACTAGAACATATCTTTCTTTATGAAGCCCTTTCTATCCTTCTCTAAGCTAAATTAACTATCCATCTCTTGCAGTAGCATTCTGTATACATTTCCACAGTGATACTTAAATTATATTACCATGAATTATACTTGTGTCTGTGTCTCCTACAAGAATGACTCTTCAGGGAGCAAAACCTGGGACTTACTTACCTTGAGAGTTTGGAGGCCCAGAAGAATTACTGGCAAAACAAAGATTCTTTGTACACATTTGCTAACTTTATGAAGTATTAGTGTATCAGAATGTAACATTAAAATGTATTACATTCTCCCAGGTTACTTTAGCAAAACCCATCTAATCAACCTATAGGGATATTAATGTGTTAATAATCTAGATAATTGCTTCGGTTTTTCAGATTATAATTTATGTAAATAAAGCTGTATTGCTGTATATTTTACTTTGAACATATTTATTACTTTGAAGTTCTTGTTGGAGAAACAATAAACTGTGATACCTTTGCTCTCTCTGTTCCTTCTCCCAAGAATATCCTTCTCCCAATATCTACAAGGTTCACTCTCTCATCTCCTTCAGGTTTCTGTAGGAATATCACATTTTCTCAGATCAGTCCCCTGACCACCATTCCTTTTGAATCCATTTTTCCATTTGTATGATCTTCCTCTCCTATACCCACATTACATTTTAAGTGTTACATACCTTGTTCATTTTCTTTGTCTTGCCCCAGTTAAATCTTTCTGAAAGCTAGGCCTTTCATATATTTTGTTCATAGCTATATTATCTTTGCCAGAAGGTGGTCTGTCACACGTAGGCACACAAAAATGTTTGTTAAATACATGAATACATGAATAAATACTAAGATAGAGTAAGGGAAATGGAGGACAATGGTATTTAAAAAAACACAAAATGTCAAATAGTTTAACATAACAGCACCATAGATTTATCGAGAAGAATCATTAAAGAAAAACTTTCTTTAAGACTTATTATTATGACATTGCGAGATGTCTTGTTTTCATGTGAGCTAATAATCGCAATTACAAAATTAATCATTGCAGCCAGCACACACCATGGGTAATTATGTGTATTGCAAAGTATATCAAAATGAAGAGTGACTCCTTTGTGAATTTGTATACCTTCTAAAACATATATGTATTGAATGTGTGCAAATATCTCTTCATTATATATATCTACCAATTGATTTCTGGGTACCCTGCAAGCCCAAATGTTTTTAGCATCTATTTCTCCTCTGTATAGCAGTTTCCATGAAGATCATGTGTCTGGCAGTACTAGCAGAGTCCCATCAGCACAGGTTGTAAATATATGAATGATAACAGCAATAATATTAATAATAATAATAATATAAAAACAATAATACTAATAGAGAGTAGCAATGGCAAGAAGCATTTATTTTTTAGATGGTGTACCAGTACAATTGGTAGCAACATCTGATTGAGAAATTATGAGCCATTCCTTCTCTAAGTGAGATGTCGTGGTTTTCAGAACACCCCATGCACAGAATTTCAGTTGCATACTAGTATTACTCATCTACTGATCTGTAAGCAGCAGAAATCTTGTCTAAATAAAGATACTTTGCAATTTCTAAATACGGTTCTAAGTTTCTGAACTTGTGATCCTCAGATTTATTTTTTTTAAATCTTCGATTCAGATGGGCCTGGATTTGACATTCAAATAGAGTACATCAAAAGTTGTTACTAAATCATCAGTTTTAAAACTTGAATATGAAAACTGCATTGGAAATTGTGTAAAAAGTTATCTAACATACTTTTGCATTATTCTATAAGCATTAAGGTGAGTTCTGAATAGAAAAAAAGTTCAGATATTAAGAAGTTTAAAGAAAAAAGTGAATTAACCTAACCAGCAACATTCACATTAAGTGGATATCATGACATTTAGCAAATTAATTTTAAATTTTAAAAAATCACATAACATATTGTAAATAAACACTGCTTTATGCTGGTTTGTGTGCCATTGTTTCAGTAAAATCCCTTGCCAAATAAGTTTTGCAAATATATGATTTAACACAGATGATACTGTAAGAGGTGATGTAAAATTGTCTGTATTCATTCAAACTAGACATAAAATATTTTTAGATCCTAATATTGCAAAGAGTTTAATGGGGAAGAAAATGAAAATATTAATAAAGAACATATCAGTGCTGATTCAGAGAGGAGAAAGTTATCAAGAAAAAGAACAATTCAAATAAAAAGCAGTAAGAACTACATGAGTAACAGGATTTCTGGATTTAGGGGGTTATTTTTGTTTTTTTTTGTGTGGGTTTTTTGTAATATAATTTTTTTCTAACATCATGAGAGCAATTTGGTAGTTGGGCTTGTGTCTACTTTGTTAATGATGTTTGGACTTTTGGTGTTAGAGCCCTACAGTTGACATAGGAGGATTATTTACTTTCCTTGTTTGGAATTTAAACTGTCATAAAATCTGTGGCTTAAGGTGTAAGAGCACTGTGTGTGTGTGTGTGTGTGTGTGTGTGTGTGTGTGTGTGTATCTGTGTGTCTGTGTGTATGTGTACCTATATTTATTTTCTTATATTTATCACATTAATTAATATACGCCTATTATTGAGACTTGAAAGTGTCTGTAAATGAAAATATTACAATCACCCAAATTCACCCCTCTAATAAATTTATTGTGTGTATGAAATTACATGTCTTTTTTTCTATGCACACCAAACTGAAGGACTGCCTAAAGGACTCTGTTTTGGTCTTCACATTACTGAGTGTCAGCGATGTGCAAGACACCAAACTCAGAGCTCAGTAAGGGGCTCAGCCTATGGGGATGTTTAACAAACATTTGTAAAATTATGACTGAATGATTATTACAAGTATTTTCTATACACTCAAATATTTTTCAAAATTATGATTTTGAATGGCTTCTTAAGGGATTGTCATCTCATTTTGTCATACTAAGCATCACTCCAATATTGTTGACTATTATTTTCAATTCCTTGCATCTAGAAATAATGCTGCAAAGCCGGGCATAGTGACATGCACCTGGAGTCCCAGCTACTTGGGAGGCTGAGGCAGGAGGATTGCTTGAGCCCAGGAGTTCAAAGTTGCAGTGCACTATCATGGCACCTGCGAAGAGCCACTGCACTCGCACTCTAGCCAGGGGAGCATAGTGACACTTCATCTATTACAAAAAATTATATAAAAATTATAAAAAGAGAGAATACTGAATGAATATATATATATATATAGCCTTTGTAAATTTTTCTTTAGCTTATCTACCCAGGTGTTTGCATTATTTTACCAAATAATAGAATTCACATAAATATGCAGAGTTTTCAAAGAGACTGTATTGAAGTTAATGCTTGTGTACATTATTATTTAGTGAAAAGTTAAAAATGATGGCATAATGTTTTGTTTCATTTTCCCATGTTAATAGTAAGGTATACCCAGAGTACATTTCTTATTAAGAAAAAAAAAGATTGGGGTCACCTTGATCAAAAATTACCTGTATACTAGTTCAGATATATTATATATGAACTACAGTTTAAGAAATATCATCAAATATTATTAATATATTCTACTATCTAAAAATTCTGCTATAGCATTATATTTTATGGCTAAAAAAGCTTGATACTGGTTGTTACAGTAAATCTTTACTAATTTATGAAGCATCAAATTCAGATTTTTAAAAATTATGTCAAGCTCAAGCTATTTAGAATTCAGCATAGTTTTATATACTACATAAGAAGAAAACAGCTTAAAATAAAATTATATTATTTTATTGGGATGGGCTCTGGAGCCCATCCATTATTTGATTAAATAAATAAAAATAAAAAATAAAAAAATAAAAAAGAGCCATTATTTGATTAAATAAATCAAATCAAAAATTAAATCAAAATTAATTTTCATTAATTCTTCATGGGCAAATAAGTTGTACTAATAGCCAAAAACATACCTAATTAAATATATAAAATTCTCATGCAATTCTACCTTCAATAATTACTAAAAGTTGGAAGTGGCATTTAAACTTCAAAGTAACATAACTGAATTTATTTAATAGTAATTAAAAATGTCTATGCTACTATATAGGGCTAGAGAACAGGATGCTGTTTAACTTCATTTTTCTTCCTTCTCAGAAAAACCTCAGAAAATGGAAGTTTAAAGGTATCCTGCTATTGTCAATTACTGTGGCTCGTAGTTCTTTTCACAATCCCCCCACCTCCAACCACCACTTTTTTCTTTTTCATCAGGTTTTCATTCTGGGAAATTAAATGTTTCTATTGACTGGGTTATTAATGCAAGAAACCTATCCAGAACAATTATACCACTTAGTAGTTTGGGAGAATCTGTATCTAATTCAGCTTTTGAAATGTTTCACTCTGTACTTAATCATACATACCAGTTTATGGGTGCATTTACATCTTATGAAAAGCACATGTCAATGCAATTTTAAAGTTTCTAGAAGATAATCAAGCCACAAAACTTATTGCCAACCCAATTAGAAATATTTTTATAAGAATACAAATGTAAGTTACGTAAGATTTCTTTAACAACTTAGCAAGAAGAAAAATGACATAAATTTTAACCATTTTTACACAGGAAAAATGATCCTACTTTTTGTGAAAATTGAGTGTTTCAAAAAACAGAATTTTACAAGTGCACGAATTTATATGTTTTCTTGGGGAAAATAAAACGTGGAGCACTTAGAAAAGACTCCTATATTGTAATCAGATTTGCAAAAGCACCATAAAAGCCATAATGTAAAATTGTTTTTGAATTTCCTACCTAGCATTATAAATACTACACCAAGAACAAAACTTGAAAGTATAAAAGAAACTAACTTTTATAAAGTATGAACTATGACACGCAACAACTTTGTACTCTATGTAACGTTGCCCTTATTTCCTCAACAGGCTGTAGGTTTCTCAGACAGGTTAAGTAGCTTGCTCAAGGTCAGGTTACTAGTTTGCAGGAGGCAAGAGCATGCATCCAGCTTGGTTTTAGGCTAAAGCCCCATGTTATGTCCACGGTATCACATTGTCTCCATACAAGTGAAAAGAAAATGATACAGAAAATTGATTCATAAATGAACGAAATGGGTTGTATAACCTAGAAAAAAATAGAATTTGGTTTGTCACAAATAAAATGAAATAAAGTCTTTACACATCTGTAGGATTACTTCACATATTCATTTATATTTTAAAACGATTTGAAATTACTTCTTTGTTCTTTAGTCTTAATTTTTTAAACCACATGTTCGTCTGTAGCTAT
Source organism: Homo sapiens (assembly GCF_000001405.40). Classification (NCBI taxonomy): domain Eukaryota; kingdom Metazoa; phylum Chordata; class Mammalia; order Primates; family Hominidae; genus Homo; species Homo sapiens. The sequence continues at coordinate 69,323,610 of NC_000013.11, forward strand.
TTTCTTCTTTTATTTTCTACTTAGCCTCTAGATCTCATGTAGGTACACATTTGCTGGAGACATCATCCCTAAGAATAGTTTACATAACTAAGAATTAGTTATCTGGTTATTGAAGTCTAATATATTTGACTCACTCATATTGTTTATTCCTTGATCTAGAATTACAATTTACTATGTATGTTAAATTTGCATTTAAATACATTGAACTATCACAACTGACTTTCTATCCTACTTGATATGTTTGTGCTTCACTGCAAACAACCCAAATAAAACCATAAAAACAATTGATTATATTGATACAATTATATTTCAATTTTGAAAATGAATTTTCCATAACAAAATTATTTTTGCCTTAATACTGTATTGCATAATTGATGAAACATAAAATGATTATTCAATAATGCATGTATGCACTAACTTTGCATCAAAAACTATTTCTTGATATATTTGTGAATATTCCAAATTAAGTACTAAAATATATTGTTAACTCCATATACCTGGCAAAATAGGACAATGATATAAATTATATTGCAATGTTGCCATGTGAACAAGTATCCACTGTATAAATGCATGCATGCAGTTTTATGTGTTTAGACTTCTAAATATGCATACGTACATCTAAGTGTGTGAGTGTGTGTGTGTATGTGTGTATAGAAGAGAGAAGAGAAAAATGACGTGTGCATAATACAATGAATAGTACAAGATTGCCACCTTCTGGATTTAATACATAAGTGACTTTTTTTTTCTTTTGGAAAAATGTCCCCCTCTTCCAAAAAGTGTTTATTAGTAATGATATTTCTTGGTAGCTTGCCCTATATTTTACTACTCATATTTAAGTAGTGTTTCTAACACTAGAATTCTTTTACAATTGCTTGGAATTCATTTTATGTATACAAAGATTTTCTAGATAATATAATAGGTCTCAAAATTTTCTCCAGATGTAGCCATTTGTGTGTCAGTGACACAAGTAAAGCCAATCTCCCCCTCCTGCCCCCCAAAATAGAACACACTGCAATGGGAACATATATTTAGTAGGAAGTTAATTAAGTCATTATTTTTATAACTGTAGAAATTGATAACTCAGCAATAAAAACATTTCCAATATTTTGTGCAAAATAATGTCAAAACACATTTTTCTAACATATTTTACTAGTTTAATATTTTGAATTTTTATATATATAGGTTTCTTATCAAAAGTAGCAGAATTATTTTTGTTAAAGCTCAAAATTAAACATATGAACATTATACAAGTATATCTACATTATCAGGAATGATCAGACATTATGTGAAGTGAGCAAGCATATATTGGATTTACAATTGTGAAATATAGACCTCTCCTCTCCTTTGGTACCAGATTCCCCTGAGCATGAGGAAGCTGAATCATGATGTCCCTCATTACCCAAAATCTCATATTCCACAATCAGAACTTGCTCTGAATCTAAAATCCAATCAAACATTTTCAGCAGTGTTCTAACTCACTTAGAATACTGATAAATTATAATTGTTAATTTTGCTTATACATAAAAATCATTGACCTTTCTTCTATTAAAGAAACATCAAGGCTTTGGGAAGCGACATGACTAATCATTGTGTTTGGGGCAATTTGCTTTACTTCTTTTCCTTTTGCCTGTTTTTTATTCCTTTCTTCTTTTTCTTCTGTTTTTGGAAATATGGGGTGCATATATATTTCACCGAGCTTATAAAGATTGTAAAGTATCTGAATCTTTATATTTTGCACGAGTAAGACTAACCTTGCATACAAACATATCAAATATACATATGAATCTTAAATATGTCAGAAAAGATATACTATTTTTGGCTGTAGACAATATTTTATAACATAATGTAAATGTTCATAGCCACTCTAATATTAATGCTAATTTTATGTAACCTATGTTGTAAAGGTCTTTTAAGGAACTTATAATTCACTCTTCTTTGGGGGATTGAGATTTTAAGAATCATGATACCTCTCCATTATCTGTGTAAAATTGCAATAAGACATTATTTTAAACATGAGATAATATCCTTGTCCAGATTTCTTGCCCTTCAAATATTATTCATTCACTCTTGAATCCCCAAATGACAACTTCTCAGGTAGATTCAACTAATGGGAATATGGAGTGTATTGAAACAAAATGAGAGTGAAGAATGAAACAATTCATTGTAATAGAAGAGGATTTTAAATGCTTATGACTTAGTGATGTTTATGTAGTTCAAATAATCAAAATATTGTAGAATACACTTTTCTCACTTAATATTACAACAGGGACACATTTTGACGCTCCTGCACTAGTTTTTGCCATATAGTCCCAATGACATAAGCGTCTGTCCCAAATACAAAACGTACATTGGCCGGGAGCGGTGGCTCACGCCTGCAATCCCAGCACTTTGAGAGGTCAAGGCGGGCAGATCACAAAGTCAGGAGTTTGAGACAAGCCTGACCAACATGGTGAAACCCCGTCTTTACTAAAAATACAAAAATTAGCCAGCCGTGGTGGCGGGTGCCTGTAATCCCAGCTACTCAGGAGGCTGAGGCAGGAGAATCGCTTGAACCTGGGAGGCAGAGGTTGCAGTGAGCTGAGATCGCCCCACTGCAGTCCAGCCTGGGCGACAGAGTGAGACTCTGTCTCAAAAAAATAACATACATTAAAATAAAATAAAATAAATTTACATAATTTCTACATCAGGGATTTGAAGTTCTGTAAAGAATAGTGCTTTACTTTTAATGTATAAGAGCTTAGAAATTCTTGAGTTTAATAACTAGTAACTTCAAAAGCTCTCTTTATGTATAATTATCATAAAAATTAATGAGGATTAAACATATTATTAAAAGGTCAACAAATACCTTTGGATCTCAACTGGAATTTCTTTCACAACTCCATACACTCCAAAATAAATATAAGTAATTGTCTTAAGTAAGATATTTATATTTTGAGTAAAATGAGTTAAAACAGAATATAATATCATACAAAACTAGCAATCTCACAGTATTGACAGTGTATTGGGGGTTCCAGAGAGAAAGACTAAGAATTGAGTATCTTGTAAATAAGAAATATCCTCTGCAGGGCTCGGTGGCTCACGCCTGTAATACCAGCACTTTGGAAGGCCAAGGTGGGCGGATCACGAGGTCAGGAGATAGAGACCATCCTGGCTAACATCCGTCTCTACTAAATATACAAAAAAATTAGTTGGGCGTGGTGGCCGGCGCCTGTAGTCCCAGCTGCTCGGGAGGCTGAGGCAGGAGAATGGCGTGAACCCGGGAGGCGGAGCTTGCAGTGAGCCCAGATCTCGCACCACTGCTGGCGACAGAGCCAGACTTTGTCTCAAAAAAAAAAAAAAAAAAAAAAAAAAGCAAGGAATATCCTCACCTAGGAAGTTATCTTGGTGAACAAACCAAAGTCCTATGTGTATGAAGGACTTGGAACTTTGTTAGTAAAAACCTCTTCTTAATGAAAGAGAAAGTTGAGATTAAACTTGGTGCAAGGATCAAAGGCAACTATGAAAGGGAAGGGTCATTTATAATTGCAGCCTGTCACAAGTTGTGCATTACTCTTATACTACACTTTTCAGATTCCTGCCAAGATTCCAAGGACATGACACTAGCCTGGAAGCATTTCTAAATTAATAAAGGTCTATCATCGCTGAAGTCTCTGTAAACAACTGAAAGCCTAAGACTTGTCAGCTTGATAAATTTGCTTTAAAATTTTGGAAGAAATATATTTTTCCCAGTTAAGCATAATGACTTTTTGTTGGTTGAAATACATGGCAGCTTGTTTTTGTTTGTTTGTTTTTTAATTTTATTTGACTTTAAATTCCGGGATGCATGTGCAGAGCGTTCAGGTTTGTTACATAGGTATACATGTGCCATGGTGGTTTGCTGCACCTATCAACCCATCATCTAGGTTTTAAATCCTGCATGCTTTAGGTATTTGTCCCAATGCTCTCCCTCCCCTTAGCCTCCACCCCCTGAAAGGCCACGGTGTTTGTCTTTCCCCACCCTGTGTGGTTTTTAGTTCTCATCGAAGAGGTCTTTCATGTCCTTTTTTAGCTGTATTCCTAGGTATTTTATTTTCTTTGTGGTAATTGTGAGTGGGAATTCATTCATGATTTGTCTCTCTGTTTGTCTATTATTGGCGTATAGGAATGTTTGTGATTTTTTCGCATTGATTTTGTATCCTGAGACTTTGCTGAAGTTGCTTATCAGCTTAAGGAGTTTTGGGGCTGAGAGAGTGGGGTTTACTAAATGTACAATCATGTCATCTGCAAACAGAGACAACTCGACTTTCTCGCTTCCTGTTTGAATACCTTTATTTCTTTCTCTTGCCTGATTGCCCTGGTGAGAACTTCCAATACTGTGTTGAATAGCAGTGGTGAGAGAGGGCATCTTTGTCTTGTGCTGGCTTTCGAAGGGACTGCTTCCAGCTTTTGCCCATTCAGTGTGATATTGGCTATGGGCTTGTCATAAATAGCTCCTATTATTTTGTGGTACGTTCCATCAATACCTAGTTTATTGAGAGTTTTTAACATAAAGCGATGTTGAATTTTATCGAAAGCCTTTTCTGCATCTATTGAGATAATCATGTGGTTTTTGTCATTGGTTCTGTTTATGTGATGGAATATGTTTATTGATTTGCGTATGTTGAATGAGCCTTGCATCTCAGGGATGAAGCCAACTTGATTGTGGTGGATAAGCTTTTTGATGTGCTGCTGGATTCGGTTTGACAGTATTTTATTGAGGATTTTTGCATCAATGTTCATCAGGGATATTGGCCTGAAATTTTATTTTTTTGTTTTATCTCTCCATAGCAGCCTGTTTGGAGAAAATTTATATAGCAAGCAGGACTCAATGGTTTCATAAAATAATGTCTGTGGACAGCAGAGAGGAGGAAATGACAGATACTGGGATATAGTCCATGTGACTGATCACATGTGAGACATCACCTGAAGAATTTAAATTGACTCCAGTGTCCAAAATGCAGTGGGTAATGTTAAGCCAAAGAAAAGTAGTTATAATTATTTTTATTGTGAGTATTGAATGACCTAGAAAAACATCAGAAAAAATAAAATCATAAGGTAAAAGTTATGTTATCTTATAAAAGTAGTCAGTTCTCCAAAATGTAGTTCAAAATTTTTAAAGTTACCAAAATAACGCTAGGACAAGACGGCTGATTAAGGATCCTTTTGGGCTGGGCTGATTGTCATTGGAAAAAAGAAGAAAATTGCCCCAAAGGGGAGTAAGGTCGGAGGTACTAGGTTGGTGCAAAAGTAATTGCAGTTTTTGCCATTACTTTTGCACCATCTAATACAAATACAATTGAAATCATTACCTTCAATGGGTATTCATAAATTTGTGTCTGGTCTCCTAAGAAAGCAAGGTCAGATCCCTGATTTCAAATTCCCAGAAAGCTCAGTAATTATACACTCAACACTTGATCAATTAACAGATACTGTTGGAGTATTCCAGGAAGAAAAAAAAATCAAAAGTTGTGATTTTCCTAAAACATTCCTCACATTCTTTTACCATATGAAAATGAGTTAAACCAAATTAACGTCTGAATTTTTAATGTCAAGACTAGAAAAAGAAACAAGATGAATGACTCGTTTTGTGAAGTTTTGGATGGTTTATATCCTTAGTATTCTAACTTCAGTAAAAAAAAAAAAAATCATTGCTTTAAAAGTTGGACTGAGTGGTCAATATGTTTTAAATTTTCGGAGCCTCATTTGTCCTTGCAAGTATATGAGTTAGTACACTTCTCGACTGGTGGATATTTGCATGCTCCTTTTACCATACCAACAACAAAGGCATAAATTAAAGAATCAGCCTGAAAACAATAACACAGTGTAATCAGAGGAATGAATAGTGTCTGCTACTCCAAAGTAAAGCTCCAAACCTCTGTTCTGGAATCTTTATGGGTTCTTGTTTCACGTTATAACTTCTTCTTAAGGAAAGAAACTTGAGTGTAAGTTCTACTTGGCCCAAGGTCATCTAACGATTTTAGCAGCATCTTCACACTAAGAAAATAATAATGTTATATTTAAGCTGGGGAGAGGAGAATGTACTCTGGAGAGAATTTGCAGGCACCTATACAAAGCTTGATTTGTTAAAAATAATTATATTTATTAAATTTCTTGTATTATGAAATTATTTTTATTAAAGTGAGGTATAAGGAAAGACGTTAAATGTTGATTCAATTTTTATTTCAAAACTATTAATAACAAGCTTCTTTTATAAGTATAACTTTATACATGTTTCTATGATTTAAGAAGCATATACATTTCTCGTTCAAAACTTTTTTAATGATGATCTTTTCAAATCTTTCACAGTCACAATATAGTAGAAAGTTTTGCATGTAAAATGATAAAATATTTAACTCCAAATTGTCCTTGAGGAGAGCAGGAGCTAATGCAGGACTACATCAAGGGACAATCCCGAAGTGACTTTAGTAGTTTGACTTCCATGATTGAAACCTAGAAATGTTGATGGCCAAAAACCTCCCATATGAGAGTGTTCTTTAGCACTCATGAACTCATTCAACTAAAAGGAGAGAAAGGAGTCATGCTCATGCATGCTAAACTTTAAACTTTACTATAAAATGCATGTTATCGGTGTCTTCGATGTGAGCTATCCAAAGAAATACTTCTCTCTGGAGAAAGAGTAGGATGCTACCCATAAATATTTTATCCCCTACTTTAGAAGGCACATTTTATTTCAACCTTCCCTCCAATTTATTGTGTTGTTAAAACCTGTTATCAATTAGGAACATTAATTTCCACTCTGAGGAAGAGATGGGCAGAGAATTAGAGAACTTCTGCAAGCACTGTGGTGAGGCCCCTTCCCTGCTCTTTGCCATGTCTTCTATTGATCATTCTGGGACCAATGAAATAAGCAGTACATCACATTGATCAAGGGCTTCTCTAAATGCCCCTTAACATTGCCTTCAGAAAATAGAATCCTTCTCTGATTTAACGGATGTATTGGTGCAGAAATTGAACAAATATATTAATTCATAAATTAAAATGATACACATGCCATTTCTATATTTTAACTTTAAAAACATAACTCATCAGTGATAATGTATCTTAATAAAATATTTCTTGTATATGACTCCCATAATACATCTATTTTCAGTTTGCTACTTATATAAAGTAAAGAGACATTACAGATAACTGGAAAATAATTCTGAATATAGAATCCTTCTATACACTTTACTCTCCCACCACTCCTGAGTCTTTTAAAACTCTTTGTCAGAACCACTTTGACAGCGATTTCTTCTTAATGATTTGCCTAAAGGGAATATCTGCAAAGTATTTCACTTAGTGCATATAGAACAAAATAAATCTATTTTCCCCACACTCATGCATCATTCTTTTGCATATTACTTAACTGTATAATCAAATACATGCTAAAACTGATACAGTCATGGGAATAATACAACATAATCTTGGTTAGCATACAAACAAAAAAGTAGCCCAAATGTCATGGCTATTAAAAAGAATATAAAACATTGGTTAATCTATCACATTGTTACATGAAAGTAAATTTTAAAAGCTTTGACTATCATGCCTTGTCAGCAACTAAGCAATGTGAGAAAAGTAAATTTTAAAACATCTTCCTAAGTAAACATTTTATTTCTACAAGGGAATTAAAGCCTCCTAAATAAACATTCTTCTTCCTTTCAAATAAATTTATTTTCAAAAATAATTTCTCCACTATCATGTCTTTATTCAACTCAGTCCTTGCTGTAATGACACTCTCATGTGGCTAAGGAGAGCCTGGATTTTATCCCCAGCTGTAGCCACTTGAGTCATCCTCTACCGTAATTAGACTCATATCTTCATTTAACATCTGCAAAGTTGGTTAGTCTAACTTCAGTCAGTCTTGTGTGTCTGCTTTGCTGACGTCGCAGCTGGTCAAGACACATAAGGGCATTTTAGCACCAATATAAGTTCCACAATATTTAGGAAAAAAAAATCAATTCTCTAGAAACAAATGCAAACAGCTACTACTTTTTATGATCTAGACACAAATTCCCATAGAAAATAATATTTCTGGTGCAAAATTGAAACACTCAAAAACAATGTTTAAGGCAACTAGTTATAAGGTATTAAGTCAGAGCCTCACCTAGCTGTCACCTTCATAGCTATTTAAATATGCACATGTACACAGCTTATTCCAGCATATTTGATTCCAAGTTAAATTTGGTATTTTGTAATTTTTAAGAGCTCTACAAGTGATTCTTAGACATGCATCTCCTACTGTGAAATGCTTGCCTATGCTTGTCAGCCACCAACTACAGGAGAAAATTGTTTCAGGAAAAGGAGTAAACTAACAAATGTAAACAAAAACAGTAAAAACATTTTTGGATGCATAATCACTACTAGTGCCTCTTTGTGGCACTATTTAGAATGTAAAATACATGAACAGAAATTTCAATTGATGGAACTCTTCTATCAGTTGATTAATTGGGGTACTGTCTTCTTATTTCCTGGGAAAGTCAAAGGTTCCCCTTCAGGCTGTGATATCTGAAATATGTTTATTCTTGAGTAATTGTCTGGGTCTTTCTTTCCTTTTTAAAATTAATTAATGAATATATGTATGTATGTATTTACTGCTATGCTTCCAGTACTTTAATGTTGAATTAAATGGAGATTTTCAATGGTAGAAGATAGACTCCAGCAGTTTTTCTTTTGTATCCCAGAAGTGGGTCCCACATGTTCTTCCATTTCTTGAAATTAGAAAATGTCCTCGAAAAGACTGTCAAACTAAAATTGTTTTTGTTTAGCTTTTGTTTTGTCTTTCTTCAGCCTCTATCCTCCAATGTGTGTTCTTTCTCAAACCTCTCAGTTTTTTACTTTTTTTTAACCGTGAAAAGCTTTGACCTCTTATATTGTAATAAAAGGGTCACCTCTCTTTCCGGGCAGTAAAACAACTTGACTGAAATTCTTGTTGTATTCTACTTTCTTCCCTATATTTCTCTTATATCTGTCAGATGTAAGATAAACTTTTAAAACATTAGCATTATTCCCTCTCGAACATATTAAGGACAAATATTGGATGCTGAATTTAAGCATTTTGGATTTTTTTTTAATTCACTTTCCTAAGAGACAAAAAGTGTCTTTAAGTTTATCACATTCTTCCTTGTATTGCTGGTGTTTCCTTTTAAAGTACCCAAATTCTGTCTGTTGTGAACATAACAGACTGAGTCTTCCTACTTTTCACTGCTGTTTTCCTTTAGTTCTGAGCAAAATGATTCCTAGGGTCATGGAATTTTCAACATAGACTGTTTACACTCTTCTTAGCCACTGTTTACCACACTTTCATTGATTCTTTTTCCTCCACTCCAATTCAGGAAAATACTACTGTGCTGTAAATATCCCTTCTCTTTATTTCTTGTAGTCAACAATAGCACCAGTTTTGAACCTACACTCAGCAGCTCTGAAATACATAACCATGGCCAATGGTTATCTAATCAACAATTCAAATCCAAATTGAGAGTCTGAGAGAAATTTCCAAAAGGCCATAGGATTTCACCAAAGTTCATCTCATAATGGTTCCTTTTGTGACCTTGGATATTATACTAAAACAGAATAAAGAGGGAGAAGAGTAGTGATAGCCAATATAATACTGTAAAACACCTGGAATTAAGAATCCAGTGGCCTAAATAAATCAAATAGGCAAACTGTGCTTTATTGAGTGAGCTCATCATTGCCCATAGAAACCTTATGGTTTTTACAATTTGAAGTCTAAGACAAAACTCTTGAGAGCCCCCAAATGAAGTTCTATACACTCTTACAGCAGAACCTGCCTGCATTAAATGTTGCCAACCAGACCTGTGTCAACATGTTGCAGTAGTGTGAATGTTGCATTATAAATATAAGGGATTTGGATTCATTTATTCATGCATTCACATTTATTTATATACATTTACAAATATTGACTAAAATAAGACTGTCCAAATCATTCTGCTAATCATAAGTAGCTGCTATAGTAAAAAATGCTGATAATATAAATTCTATCCTCCGAGACCTAACAGTATAGCAGAGATGATACTTAAGTGGATCACACAAATGATTTTCTAAGGGTTTGGTAAGCACACAAGGAAAAACACAGAATTCAGATTTTGGACTAACCTAATGAGAGTTCCCAGTTTGTAAACTTTCACATCTACTGAAAATATACCAGACTGTGACAGTAAGATTTTAAGAATGTTTTGAGTAGCTCTGCTTTTTATAATAGCAGGTGTTAAGTTTATATGGTAGGGTTTAGGTGGCAAAGTAAATTATGCAGATATCAATTCACTGAATTTTCATGACAGAATACATTTGGGAAAATTTGAAATGAATACTTTGGAGAGCAATATTTAACACAATTCTAAGTCATTACATAAACACTTGGGAGATCTGAATTAAAATATTTGAATAACAAATTCATTGAAAAAATGTTGAACATTTAGCAAAGCTTAGTGATTTATAGTGTATTTGAACTAAGGTGTAACTTAATCAAAACACTGTATTTTACATTTAAATCTGTTACCAATAAGGCCCATATAACAAAATGCATTAAAAAATAAAATAAAATGAACTTATCCAATTCTATCTAGAAAAGTCGCTTTCCCAAAACTCCAATCTGGTACCTTTATATAACATTAACATACCAAATATCATCTTAATTCAACAAATTACAAATGAATATTCAAATGGATATGATAAAATAAAGTGTAACCTTCAGCTCAAACTATCACTCTGTCCAGGTGTCAGGTTGAATATAAACTTTTAAAGCCAGACTTAGAATTTGACACTAATTTCCTTCAATGTCAAATTACATTGGCCTTAAGAATTTTCAACGACTGAATAATCACACATTGTATTATTTTCTTCTATTACACACAAATTATTCCTTCTAGGGACAAAGTTTATTTATTATTGATTTAGTGTGTGCCTATGTTAAATAAAAATTCTTTTTACTCAGCTCTTCACGTGCAATGAGATTTCCTACTCAAAAATCACTTGCAATGAGATTTCCTACTTAAACCAGCTAATTTTACAGGTGAATGAACTCTTCTAGTTGGGCTAAATGATACAACCTAACAGCGGTGGATTTAGTCCTAGAACCCAAAGTGTCCTACGCCAGCAAAGTCCTTCTGTCTCGGAACAAGAGTTTGCAAATCGATAGTTACAGAAAATTTTTAACCCATATTGTGTATGCATATTGTGCTAAAAGTAAATCCAATGTAAATGAATGTGAATCTGTTTAGTATTTCTGATTTTCCAAGGTTTCTACTACTTCTGATGTTTGTATAGCAGGTCTAAAATATGATGTGGATGTCAACCTAAATAACAGACAAAGAAAAGCTCTCTAAAAGAAAATGATATTTATTTAGAAGTGGCTGTTACAATGTGAATATGCATGCCATATTAAACTATATACATACTGAGGGAGGAAAGGGAAGCCAAAGGTTTTTAAAGAAAAAAATGAGGAGGATTTACATAATTGTTTTGAGGTAATTATCCTTGCTACAAAGATCAATAACAAGGGTGGCACCAGTCCAAGTTTAGACAGGCAGTTGCTGAGCAGATGTCCTCACAGAAGTATCATTTTGTGTATAAAGTTTTGATTGCCCTGGTACAAGGTTGTGGTTTTTACAGTCTTTTGTGATAATTCTTTTTATCAGATGTTCATCTATGAGAACCTTACCTTATAGCCTCCCCGGGCTCCACTCATTTTTTTTTAACACAAGTGACCATTTTAATTCTTATAACTTTCACATTTCTTTTTCTTTCTTTCTTTTTTTTTTTTGGTTAACATTTTTTTTTTCTAAAAGTATCACTGACCAGTTATCCTGTAGTGAGCCTTTGATTGTCCCTTGGTGTGGGGATGGATCTTTCCCAGGTTGTTGATTTGTTTCATATTGGAGGGCATAATTGGCAAATAAGAGTCAGTGTCACTTTTAGCCACATTTGAGTATTAAGGGACCACTGGAGGAAGTGGTTCTCAGGTTAGGGCTAGGTCTACCTGGAGTCCATTGTTAAGTTTCATTTTGCCTGTTCCATAGCAGTTGACTTTCATCTTAGGGTTCCAGGTGAGCGCTATTCTGTTAGGAGTTGTAGTTCTGCAGAAATTTTACAACTAACGTACAAAATTAACACATGCACACACACACACACACAAAGTAAAATTAATAGTAATAAGATCATCTCCATTTACATGATAGTTTTGAGCCATGAACCTAGAATTTAAAACAACAATTTAATAAATCAAATGACATGAGAAATTACGTGAGACCTATTGTCATTATGTGGCCTGTTTTCTTATTTGTGTATATAGGTCGCAACTTTCCCAGAGGAATTTATTGTGGTACACGATGTAGTATTAGCAATAGCCCAGACATTTTCTTATTTAACCAATATGCAGCAATTTTATCATCTAGTATCCCATGACTGGGTTGAATTAAAGCAGAGAGAGAGCAATAGTCGTATTAGGGATGTTGCCGAAATTACTCATTAGGTGGAATAAAGAATCTCTTAGGTAAGATGCTATAAAGTTACCAGTGGAAGCAATTAGTTTTAAAATTTCAATTATACCATTATTTTGCCAAGTAAAAAAATGTAGGCAGGAAGACAGATAAGAATCTCATTATGATATGGAATCCTACTCTGCCATCTTAGGAAAAGCTGTCTACAGTGTGAAACCATCAACTTCTTGTTTTGGTTTGCATTTTGAATATATCTTGTTATGACAGCAGGCAGTTCAGTGAGCACTCTGTGTGGTCCATGTATCAGGCACAAGACTTATTTATTAAAATTCATTCAGCTTATAGGGCTTTAGCACCAGAGTAGTTTCTGTTTTTACTAATTTCACAGAATAAAGTTAGATTGCAGCAACCTAGAAGAATTCAGGATGTAGTCTACTCTACAGATAGATAATAAAACCTTGAAAACAGTGCACAGTGCTACAGTCTAATAGCAGATGTATTATAGCTTTTCTTTAGAAAATAGCTTTTCTCTCCATTGATATCTCAATTTCTACCAAAGATAATATGAGTAAAAGAAATTTGTAAAATAAGTTTAGTTTCATCAGTTTTGGTCAGATTATTTACATAAGGGCAGCAAGGTAGGTATTAATTACATCAAAATCTCAAATTTAAGAACGTCTTGGAACTAGGATATGAAATAAATGTAGACTTTAGATTTTGCCTGCAATACTTATAAACAATTTAAATTATGGCATTTCGGTCAAAACCTTGGTAATATAACCAGTGTGTTCAACTATATCCTGTACTAAAGAGAGCAGATTCTTATTGAACTTATGCAAAAACTGATATTGCCATAGAAATAAGAATACTCATGAATACATTCTGAATGTTGGAAAGATCAAGTAGGGAGAAGTAAATGTTATCACTTTTGTTTAAAAAGTAAACTTTACCAAATTGATGTAAATTATAGATAGCTTAAGACAAAACGTCATAAATCTGGAAAACAAAACATTTAACTAAGGATCACAGAATGTTACAAAGAAAAGTTTAAAAACAGGCCGGGCGCAGTGGCTGGCGCCTGTAATCCCAGCACTTTGGGAGGCTGAGGCGGGCAGATCACGAGGTCGAGAGATCAACACCATTCTGGCTAACACGGTGAAACCCCGTCTCTACTAAAAATACAAAGAATTAGCCGGGCGTGGTGTCGGGCGCCTGTAGTCCCAGCTACTGTGGAGGCTGAGGCAGGAGAATGGCGTGAACCCGGGAGGCGGAGCTTGCAGCGAGCGGAGATGGCGCCACTGCACTCCAGCGTGGGCGACAGAGCGAGACTCAGGCTCAAAAACAAACAAAAGTTGTAAAAACATTATATTCAGCAGTTATACAATCTTGTAGAATTAAAATATTTGCTAAATCTTGATTCACAATTTTATGTATCCATCAGTTTCTTCATTAGAGTTTTGAAAATTTTTACTTTATCTATTGGTATGTTCTTAAAGTTATCAGAAACGTGTATTAAAGAGTAATTGTTAGAGGCTTTTCTCTGAATCTAATCATAGATGCTTTCAGAGAAAAATTAAAACAGTAAATGTAGATGACAAAATTTTATGTTAGCCATGGTTAAAAATCTGATGAGTTCAAAATTGATAAGAAAATACAGTTATTTTTGGCAAACAACATAGTAACTAGAATTATGACTGATGGCATATTAGATCTTTAAAAATTTTATACAATTTTGGAAAATTAATTCAATAATATATTCATAAATATAACTGAAAGATCTGGCATCACTCATCATTTGATAAAGATTCATGTATAATTCAACATCTCAAATAAGTTGTTTTATTTGATAACTCTGTTTTATAACTCTTTTATACAACTGAAAAGTTCCTAGGCTCTGTGAAATGAGTTTGAGATAAAAAATGACTTAATTTAGAACTTGATCTTGGGAAGCCTGCAAAATGTCAAAAAGTTTAAAACACTTCTCCCAAATAGAATCACATGTCTTTGGGATATAATAGTCATTCACTTAACCAGAGTGATGAAGGATTTTTAGAACAATAAAGAAAGTTACATATATGTGAAAACAAACAAACCTTAACCATTTCAAAGCTCATTTTTTCCTAAGTAATCAAAGAAACCCAATAAGACCAACATGAAACACAGGAAATTATCTTGGAAAGATTAAAAAATCTTTGTTTCTCAGGCTAGTTACCAAAATGATAAAAAAAATTTCCTCTACTGTGATTGGTTCTCCTTATAAAAAGCCCATTTAGATAATTTGAAAGTTGAACCTAATGAAGAGGCACTTAAATTTAATCAGACTCAAAAAGAATGTATGTCTAAGGTTATGCATGTACAATTTGCCATATTTATTGGGAATGTAAACAAGAAAACTATTACTTTAAGCAGGGGCGTAGATGATTTTTAGTAAAAGCAAGGAAGATTTTCTGATTACATGGAAGAATTCAAATACAAAAGTAAAAGCCAAGAGTACAAAATCAAGTTATACTGGAGGAAAACATTGATCTACACTGTAAAGTTGCAGTTCAGATGATGGTGGAAAACCAATTGCATATTAAATCAAAACCTCTTGGCAATTTTATATAAGGAAATATCAATAATTCAAGAAAACCTTGTTGTTCTAACATAGGGGACCACAATTTTAATTCTGTATCAGTATGTGTGTGTACATATCTCAAAGTTCAATCTTTAGAAAGACTTATAAATAATTCTCTTTTAATTATAGCTGGCTTGATCAGACACAAATTTCTCTCATAAATTTGTTATTCATTACTTTTCATGATGTACTTACACTTTTTATGATGTGCTTAGACCTTTAATTTGGTCCTATATTTTCTTTTTTTTTTTTTTTAATAACCAGTCATTTTGCTTTTTGAAAAATTTACTCCCTTTTTTTAAATCATTTTGAAAAATTAAGGTCTTATTTGAAATCTCCTAATCAAAAATACATCTTAATACTTATAACTTTTTTCACATCTTTCCCTTATCTCCTATGTACTTCTTTTTTCCTTTTATAACTTTTTTGTTGTTGTTTGTTTGTTTTTAGAGACAGGGTCTTGCTACGTTGCCTAAGCTGGTCTTGAACTCCTGGCCTCAAGCAATCCTCCTACCTCAGCCTCCCAAAGTGTTGAGAATACAGGTGTGAGCCACTGTATATGGTCCTTGTTTCTTTATATATTTTTTCTATTTCTTTCCTAAAATTACTCTTTGAAACAACTTTAAATACCATCTGAATTTCGGAAAAAAAATTCCCAAAACACCTACATGTTTATACCTTTGCAATAATTTTTTCTTCAAAAACACATCTTACTTTTTTGGTAGACTTTGTATACAAAATTTTATCTATTAATTAGAATTTTTAACTGTTAGTAACTGTAATTTCTATTGAAAACAAGGGAAGCCCCCATCTCTACTAAAAATACAAAAACAATTAGCCAGGCATGGTGGCGGGCACCTGTAGTCCCAGCTACTCGGGAGGCTGAGGCAGGAGAATGGCGTGAACCTGGGAGGCGGAGCTTGCAGTGAGCCAAGATTGCTCCACTGCTCTCCAGCCTGAAGGACAGAGTGAGACTCCATCTCAAAAAAAAAAAAAAAGAAAAAAGGAAAAAGAAAACAAGGGAAGCAAAAAATTTTGAACTGTCTGTCACATATATTCATCTTTAAAATATTAGAAACCTATTTCCCTGTGAGAAAAATGTTGTGTATTAATAGACCCAAATATATTTAGTCTTCCTATAAAATTTAAGTGAGAACATATTTATATTTATACATTAGTTTATGTTTTAGTATTCTACCTTATTTGAAAATTATCTAGAAGTGTAATGAATATCCATTACTTAACATAAGAAAATATAATTTTAAGAATTCAAATCATATAAAAAGTTTATTAGTAAAGGTTTTCCCATTTTCATTCACCAAATGTATTGTTAACAACTATAACTATATCACTTGTTAAAACTGAGATATGACACAAAGCTAGTCATCATTCTAAGTTATTTCTCTGTTAACTATTTTTATAGCTGGGGAATATCAGGTATTCACCTAAGTAAATTCCTTATAGTTATAGAAATAAGTATTTTGCCAAAAACTTAGAAGAAACAACTGTTTTCATCAAGCCAAAAATATTAAACTAGTCTTACTTATCAAAGTTACAAAAACAAAGCTTATTCTCTTTTTAGAGTGCAGTTGTAGTTGTGTTACCTTAAAACAATTAGAAGAGGCAAATGTAATTCTGTGTGAATAGTAAACCCAGGCAAAAACCTACGCTGAGAATTCTGAAAATATTTTTATTTTATCAACAAATTTAAAACTAGCTTATTAAAGAAAAGTTTTCTTAAGTCATATGAACTAAAGGCATTTGCTTACTCACTATATATTTTCATAATTTATATGGGCACTCACTTATCTAAGCCAATCCGAATAGAATTTCTTAAGGGGTTTCTGGATGATTATGCCAGATACTAACATGTAGACACAACACACAATGTAATACATGTACATATGCATAAACACACATAAATACACACACACGCATATATATATACATATGCACACATACAAAGATCTTATACCTTTCATTTTAGAATTTAGTAAAGTGGCAGTATAACTTACTGATAAAACTTTACCAATTGATAAAAGAAGAGTTAGATCCAAATTTTATTTCTGACAAAATTTTAATTTTAGTTTTAATTTTTATTGGAAATTGACAATTCATAATTGTCTATATATTTATGTACAGGAGGCTGTATGTATTTATGGAGTATAAAGTGATGTTATGATTTATGAATATAATGTAGAAGAATTGATACGTCACCTCAAATACCTTACATGTCTTATGGTGAGAACATTTTAAATTTAATTAGAATTTTGAAATATACTGTATCAATAGTATTAGTCATGCTCTGCAATATATCTAAAAAGGAGAATAAAACATATTCCTCCTGTCTAAGATTTTGTACCCTCTAACCATTGCTCCACTCCTAGACTCTGTAATTACTCTTTCAATCTCAGTTTCTCTTTTCTTAAGGTAAGCATTTATTTCTATAAAGTTAATTCTTAGAATTTTTTCTGCATTTTATACCTTTTGATGTGTTGTATTTCTATTTTCATTTGTTTCAAGATATTATTTAATTACCTTGTTGATTTCTTTCTTGATCAATTAGTTGTTCATGAGTGCATTGCTTATTTTCCACATATTTGTGAATTTTCCCATTTCTCTTCTGTTATTTATGGCTAGTTTTATACAATTATTTATGAAAAAATACTTACTATGATTTTAATACTTTTAAGTATGTTGAGACTTGTTTTCTTTTTCCTAACACATAATCTATCCTGGAGAATGTCCTGTGTGTGCTTGAAAACAATGTGTAATGTGCTGCTGGTGGATGGAATAGTCTGTATGTGTTTGTTAGGTATATTTGGTCTATAGTTATTCATTTCTACAGATTTCTTATTGACGTCTTGTCTAAATGATTTATCCTTTGTTTAATATGGGATATTAAAGTCTTCTACTATTGTATTGCTATTTATCTTTTCAGTTTTGATTTATCTTTTTAGTTCACTTTATATATTCAGGTGCTTTAATTTTGGTGACATATCTATCTCCCTATCTATCTAGTATCTATCTATCCATCTATCTATCTATCGATCGATCTATCTATCTGTAGATGTATGCCTCATGGTAACAAAGAAGTATGTTATAAAGTTATCTATAGATAGATATGTCTGTCTCTAATATATCTGCATCTATATATATATATATATCAATGTAGATAGTTTTGGTGGCATAGATATATAGATATCTACCTATGGATATGTATCTATAGGTATCTATATCTCTATGTATCTATATCTAGACAGATAGATAGATAGCTATCTTCTCTTTTAGTCCATTTCCTGGTGCTTATACCTGAATGCCTCAACATGGGTAATTCATACAGAAAAAATGAATTTATTTTTTACAGTTATTGAAGCAGAGAAATCAAGGGGGCCACACCTGGTAAGAGCCTTCTCTCTGGTGGAGACTGTAAAAACTCTGAAGGTGGTGCAGTATATTGCAAGATGGAGGGGCTGAATATGTGTTAGCTCAGATCTTTCTTCCTCCTCTTATAAAGCCACCTGTTCTCTTCCATGATAACCCATTAATCCATCAACACATTAACCCATTAATGAATGAACGAATAAATCTATTCATGAGGGCAAAGGTTTCATAATCCAATCAATATTTAAAGATCTCACATCTCAATATTAACACATTGGAGATTAAATTTCAATGTGATTTTTGAAGGGAATGAATATTCCAATGATATAATCCTCTCTGTGAATATACTCTTTTATAAATGTTATAATACTCTTCTTTGTCTCTTTTACAGTTGTTGACTTAGGTTTATTCTTTCTCTGATATAAGAATAGCCAATCATGCTCTCTTTTGGTTACCATTTGCATGGGATTTTTTTTTTTAATTCATCAACTTCAGCCTATGTGTTCTTAAAACTAAAGGACATCTTTTATTAGCATATAGTTGTATCTTGTTGTGATGATGGTTGTTGTTCTATCCATTCAGAAAATCTATGTCTTTTGATGGGACGATTTAATCCAATTATATTTAAAGTAATTGAGAGGTAAGGACTTACTATTGCGATTTTGTTATTTTTACTGTGACTGTTTTATAGTTTCTTTGTTCCGTCCTTCCACCCTTACTATCTTCCTTTATTATTTGATGGTTTTTTAGTGGTTGGCTTTGACTTATTTTTTTAATTCTTTTCAGTATCTACTAAAGAATTTGTATGTGTAGTTACCAGGTGGCATACATAAAAGCTTAGTTATAACAGTATGTCTTAAACTCATAACAACTTAAGAAACTCATAACAACTTAAGTTAGTTTATATAAAAAGAAGTTCAAGTTCTGCTTTTCAAATTCTCCTCCCCTCACATTTTATGTTACGGATGTCACAATTTGCATCTTTTATATATCATGTATTCATTAAAAATATTGTAGTTATTTTTAATAATTTTGTCTTTTCACATTTGTACTAGAATTAAAATCATTTATGTATATCACTACAGTATTAAAGTATTATGATTTTTATATTATTTTTACCTTTACTATGAGTTGTCCACTTGTATATATTTTCACATTGTATTTGAAATCCTTTCATTTCAAGTTATGGAATTATCTTTAGCATTTCTTTAATGGAGGTCTACTAGTGATATCTCACGTTTTGTTTGTCTGGGAAAATCTTTATCTCTCTTTCATTTCTGAAAAATAGCCTTGCCAGGTATACTGTTCTTGATTGGCAGCATTTTTTTTTTCCTGCGCTTTGACTATGTCATCCCATTCTCTCCTGGTCTAAAAGGTTTCTGCTTATAAACACCTGATAGTCTTATGGAGGTTCTTTTGTTTGTGACAGGTTGCTTTTCTCTTGCTGCTTTCAAAATTCTGTTTTTGGCTTTTGAGAATTTGATCATAATATGATCTTGGCGAATTTTTAAAAATATTTAATCTATTTGGGGTTTGGGGGAGTTTATTTGCTTATAATATTTATTTCCCTCACTAGATCTAGGAAGTTTTCTCTTAATATTTCTTTCAATAAGCTTTTTTCTTCATTCTTTTTACTAATCTTTAAGGGACTCCTGTAATTTATATATTGGCTTTCTTGATGTTCTGTAAGTTTTGTAGGCTATCTTCACTCTGTCATTTTTTTTTTATCCTTTCGTCCTTTGGACTAGGTCATTTCAAATGACCTGTCTTTGAATTTACTAAGTCTTTCTTTTATTTGATAAATTCTGCTGTTTTAGCTTTTTGTCTTGGTATATTTTCTGGTGCTAAAACAGAATGCCACAAGCTAGGTAGCTTATAGAAAATGGAAGTTTAGTTGGCAATTGGTTCTGAAAGCAGGGATGTTCAAGATCAAAGGGCCACATCCAGTGAGGGCCTTCTTGCTGCATCACAGCATGGAAAAAGGGATACAATGGTGAATGAGAGAGACAAATTGGACCAAACTCATCTTTTTATTAGGAGCTCATGCCCACAATAACCAAACCAATCTCATGATAATGGCATTAATCAATTTATGAGGGTAGAACCCTCATAGCCTAATCACCCCTTAAAGATTCTACAACTCAATAACATGACATTAGCAATTATTTTTAAATGTGAGTTTTGGAGGGGACATTCAAATCATAGCAGTTTTTATGGAATTTCTTAGTTCCCTTGTTGAGTGATTCAGCTCAGAATTTGTTTACCCTTTTTTTATGATTTCTATCTCTTTATTGAACTTCTATTTCTTCATGTTTTGTTTTTCTGGTTTCTTTTATTTGTATATCCGTGTTCTCTTGTAGCTCACTGAGCTTATTTAAAATGATTATTTTTCGTTGTTTGTCAGAGAGTTCATAAGTTCCATTTATTCGGGGTTGGTTAATCATGTTTTATGGTTTTGGTAATATCATGTTTCTATGATTATTTCTGATCCTTATGGTCTTGCATTGGTGTTTTTATGTTTGAATAATTAGGCACTTCTAGTTTTTACAGGCTGACTTTAATAGAAAAAGCCCTTTGCAAGTCAACATGCTCAGATTCTGGACTGACCATTTGTGAGGTCCAAGGGAAGGCTTGAAGCTGGAGTCTTCAGGTGGGTTGGCCCGATGCCTGCGTAAGCAGGTCAGTGAGCCTGACACCTGGGTCCACAAAGGCCAGCCTGCTGGCTGGGTCTACAGGGTTGGGCCTGGACCCTAAGTCCACTGGGATGGGCCTGCAACTTGAATCTATTCATGCAGGCCTGCATCTGGGTCCAGTGTGGTAGGTTTGTCTACAGAGTTCATAGGGACATGCTAGGAATGTTAAGTCTGTGGGATGGGCTTTGAGTCTGTGTATTTGGGGGCTAAAGCTTAGATCCATGGTGGCTGACTTTATACTGGGGCAGGCTTTGAGCTTGAGGCTGCAGAACTATCCTAGCATGAAAACTGGCCTGGTGCCTGAATCCATGGGGTGGGCCTGGTTTGAGTCTCCACCTCTGTAAGTGTAGAGACTTTTTCAAGTCCAGCTTTTATGTACATTTACCAACCACCAACAAAATAACAGACACACTTCACATAACAGAATAATGAAAATTAAAAAGATGAATTGGAGAACATCTGCCAAGAATATGAAGGGAGACATAATTCTCTGAGCAAAAGACAATGGGTGTATTGCAGAGGCTTATTTCAAGAGAGTAATTTAAATATCTAAATTTCACATTTCTGTAGAAGTGAACAAAAAATGAAGATTGAGTTAATGGATATAACATATTCTTTCTCTATTTTGAATAATGTCAGAAAGAGAACACTTTTTATAATTGATGTAAAATGATCTAGTAGAAAAAAAAGTCACTGTTCCACTGATATAAGTCATGAATAAAAAGGCTGAGAATCAAGAGGACAAAAAGAAAAAGAGTCCTTGGCAGTACTAGGGCAAATTTTTTTATTTAGTTACAACTGGGTGTCTACTTATCAATCTCTAGTAAAGAGTAATTAATCCTTCTCTGCACTCTATTTCTACCCTGCTCCTTAATGCTGTCAGAATTTTCTGATTGCCCTATAGACATTGACAAACAATACAATACAATTCTAAGGTCTCCCTAGAGAAGACAGAAGGATCTATTAAAGATATGAGTTACATCATGTCCTTCATCTAAACAGAACTGGGCGGTGGTTTTCAAAAATATTGGAAAGAACCAGCTATTTGAAATGTTAAGACAATTCCATGCATAGAAAGGGTAGGTACAGAGGTTCTGACTTCTAGCAGAGCTTGGAACAATATAAGAGCTTCAAGAAGACCAGTAAACAAGCCTTTCCGTTGTGTCAGGCCAGTGCCACTGGAGTAAAGTAATCATAGGAGGTGGGGAATAAAATGATGCTGGATAACTGAAGAAGTGCAGTGAGTCATTGTAGTCTATAGTAAAAAGAATGACTCCTATTATTATTTTAGGGATTTAAGTAGAGGGGAGATATAACCTAATTTAGTAATTTATCATTATTCCGGCTGGTGCGTGTAGAATAATTTGGAAGTAGGGAAAATTGGAAATAGAAATACAGATTAGGAGGCTCACATAATGCAATTCATAGCAAGTACATGGTGGTAATTTGGCCTGGAATAACAGCAGTAGAGAGGGTAGAGAAGTAAACATATACAATATTTATTCTAAGAATAGAACTGATAGAATTTGCAGATGGATTGAAAGAAAAGTGAGGAAATTATTGGGTTTATTATGGGTTATTATATCTGGCTTAATAAATTTGATAGCTTTACTAGAACTGAAGGAAAAATAAGTTTGGGATGGGCTAGGAGAGATTAACTAATTGCATTTACATGTATTAATTTAGACATGGCTATGAAGCATTGAATCAGATATGCCAAATAGGCAATAGAATAAATAAGTGGGGAGTTCACAGGAGAGATCTAAAACACAGAGTTGTTAGAATGTTATCAGAATATGTATGCTATTTAGAGATATGGGAAATGGCAAAATTACCTAAGAAGAGAAGGTTGATGGAGTAGAGAAAATTCCTTTCACATAATCTGAGGTGTTGCATCTTTGAGAAGCATAGTGGAAAGGTTGGAGTCAAGAAGAAATGTTAGAGAAAAAAATGAAAAGGAGACACACTAATAGATAGTTGAAGTTTCCTAGAAACCAAGAGAACATTTTAGAAAGGAGGTAAAGGTCAATTCTCTGGAAAGCTGCCAAGTGGCAGAATAAAATGAGTTCAGAAAAATGTCCACTGGATTTTTCAATGAAAACCCTTGGAGTCCTTTACAAAAGCTATTTTTATGGACTCATTGGAACAGAATATATAAACCAGATCATAGTGGGTTAAAAGTGAATTGATATGGAAAAATTGGGGACAACAATTTTGAAATTTACAGTTAGAAAAAGCAAAGAAATAGAACATGAAATTGTGGCAAACGGAGGTGGAATCAAAGAAAAATTATTATCATTTTGTTTTTGTTTTTAGTTTGATTTGGTTTGATTTTTTTTTTCGAACAGGAGAATTCAGAGTTAATGTGTTTCTTTGTAGGATGCATCAGGAAAAAGGCAGAGCTTGATAATTTAAAAGTGAAAGTGGATAGGTGAAGAAATCTATCCCTTGATATGAGAAAGAAGATCAAGAGCACAAATGGGAAGATTGGCTATTGATAGAAGGAAAGATGCATAAACACCAAAAGCAATTTCAATAAAAGTCAAAATTGACAAATGGGATCTAATTAAACTAAAGGGTTTCTGCACAGAAAAAGAAACTATCATCAGAGTGGACAGACACTCTGGAGAACTGGAGAAAATTTTTGCAATCTACCTGTCTGACAAAGGTCTAATATCCAGAATTTACAAGGAACTTAAACATATTTACAATAAAAAAAACCCATCAAAAAATTGGTAATGAACAGACACTTTTCAAAAGAAGACATTTACGCAGCTGACAAACGTGAAAAAAAGCTCAACATCACTGATCATCAGAGAAATGCAAATCAAAACCACAATGAGATACCATCTCATGCCAGTCAGAATGGCGATTATTAAAAAGTCAGGAAGCAATAAATAGTGGTGAGGCCGTGGAAAAATAGGAAAGCTTTTACACTGTTGGTGGGAATGTAAATTAGCTCAACCATTGTGGAAGATAGTATGGTGATTCCTCAAGGATCTAGAACCAGAAATACCAGTTGACCCAGGAATCCCATTGTTGGGTATATATCCAAAGGAATATAAATCATTCTATTATAAGGACACATGCACACATATGTTTATTGAAGTACTATTTGCAATAGCAAAGAAATGGAACCAACCCAAATGTCCATCAATGATAGATTGGATAAAGAAAATGTGGTATATATATATATATATATATATATATATATATATATATATATACACACACACACACACACACACCATGGAATACTATGCAGCCATAAAAAGGAATGAGATCATGTGCTTTGCAAGGACATGGATGAAGCTGGAAGCCATCATCCTCAGCAAACTAACACAGGAACAGAAAACCAAACACCACCTGTTCTCACACATAAGGAGAGTTGAACAATGAGAACACGTGGACACAGAAAGGAGAACAACACACAGGGGTTAGGGGGTGGGGGTTGAGGGGAGAGAACTTAGAGGACAGGTCAATAGGTGGAGCAAACCACCATGGCACAAGTATACCTATGTAACAAACCTGCACGTTCTGCACACGTATCCCAGGTTTTTTGTTTGTTTTTTAGAACAAACATGAAAATAGAAAGAAAGATGCATTTAGTTGGAAACAAATGGGAGGAAGAGGAAGGAAGCTGCAGATGCCAAAGTGGGGGTAGTCATGATTCGGAGGCGAGATGATAACAGGGTATCTTATCTGGGGGCTTCTATTTTTTTAATGTTGCTTGAAGCAAGATAATCATCAAAGACTATGTAATGGCATAAGCAGAAGGAGAGTTAGCAATGTCTGAAATACTTAGCTTGGAGTTTTAGAAATGAAAATCAGGGAAATGTAATAGCATCATTAGACACTTTTGAGAACCCATTTGATATATATATATAATCGTGTATTGATATAAATCTATTGATACAGGTTGTGTTTGTGATTAGATATTAACTTACTGTTCTTGTCTCCTTCCCTTGACTTGACAACTGATGAATGGCTTCTAGATCTCTGGACTTGGCAGATGTTTGTAGACTAACTCTTTATCTCGTTATTTTTTTCTTGAGTTTCTAAAATTTGATCTGACCAGATTTATCTTTATTTAAGTAGTCCTTTGAGACTCCTGTTGTGTCCTTTCAAAATCTGCCATGTACCTCTAGATTCTTGCATCCGAGGTCTTTTGTCCTGTTTCACAGATTCCAAGATGACCCTAGAATGACTCTAATTCTTCTGGGGACAAATGAGTACAAGTAAAACATTCAAATATTCATGGTTCTCTTAAAGTTTGAATATACAGGCTGATCTCAAAGCCACAGTATTTTTTTTTCTTTTTACTCCAATGGTTAAGCAGTTTGTCAGCTCACATCCTACAACAGTTCAATTTTTCATGCTTCCCGGTGTTAATACCATCCCACATTAAAGCTAGGCTTTATGGTTGCTTAGTTTAGATTTTAAAAAAATAGGAAAATTGATGGTGTGCCAGGTCCTTGTTGTGGCCTTAAGACGTTTTGAACAGTATCGCTCTCTTTTAGAATTCTGAAACTGACATGGATACAAACCAGGCTAGTTTAATGGGGGATGAAAGATAGTATGAATTAAAAAACAAGTTTTATCAGCGAAGACCATCCTCTGTGCAGCCTACAGACAACCAATCCACACTCAAGAAACATTATGTAACCAATATTAGCGGAACTGACTGCTCAACTCACAGATATAAGGTAAGCCTAACTGAGACATGAAAAACCACACATTTGACACATTGACTTGTGAGTGATAATAAATTCTTATTGATTTAATCCAATGAGATTTGGAAAAGTTCTTTATACAGAAAAGGTTACCCTGTACAACCCATTACTTAGTTTACCCATAAGTGGTGAGGCCACCAGATATAAGAATCCTGTTTCAAGTATTTGAGTAGCATGATAGAAGTCCCTTCTTTGAAGGAGAAGAGGTGGTACTAAAAACTGAAGATTTCTTCAAAGCTGTGTCTTCACAAAAATCCCTTTTCACTGTGTACTCTGACCCTTTTAAAATACCTTTAAAGGGGGTGAGTGTACAAAAAATCCCAGGGCATAGTTTTACTAATTTCCTGTATTTATTGATCTCAGCTACACTATGATATTTGATAAGTCTTATCATATCTCAGTCAACAGAACTTCATTCTAGATGTGGTTTAATAGGAATTAGCCACATGGATATAGATATCACAAAAAAAAAAAAAAATGTGACAGGAGTGGCAATGAGGAGGAAATCCAAAAGATAGGATCTAGCAACCAGGATGCGGTGAGAAGCTGATAGACACTTACAACATGAGCTTCAAAGGAAAAGAGGTTTTTGTTCTTTTTTCTTCTGTTGGCTTCTGTTTTCTCTTTTTATATAAATATGGGAAAAGATTTTGGATATATAGATGGAGAAAAGAAGAGAATATCTTAACTTGTGCCTTTGGGTATATTAGTGAAGAGTTATGTAAGATAAATAAGAAAAAGAGATACAAGCAGCAAGAGATGAAAGAAAAAAATTCACTTGAATTAAATGCAAGGGAGATTGTGATCTAATAATACAGCTAATTTACAGGAAAGACAAAGGGGAGGAAAAAATTCTTAGGAATGAATTTTAACATTGTGAAAATACCTGATCCCAGATGAAGACTTTCAAAGTAACTGGGTACCTTTAAGCTGGAGAGAAATCTGGAGCTGGGTTTGGTAGAAGATATGTGAGGCTGTATGAGGACAGTTAGATAAAATTAGATAACTTTGGTTATTGCAGTAAAGGGAAAGTGAAGCACACTGGAACTAACTCAGAACATAAAAGATGGTGGTGGCTGTCTGAGTGAAATGATTGCTGGAGATAGGCATTCTCTCCAGAAACCATAGGCAGCATCCCTACTGTAGTATGACTTTGGTTGTGATCTCTGTCAGAAGTGCTAATTTGGTGGCTAACACTCCTGGAAAAATAAATGAAAATATTCTAGATGAATGAGCATGCAAGGACATCAGAAAAAAAATTTTAAGTGAATAATTATAAAATAGCATATAGTATAGTTGGATCATACCCTGTTAACTGATGTGAAGTAGGGATTATAAGAGAAGAGAGGGACAGAGAGAGAGCTACTTATAAAACGAGTCTTAGACTCTCTTAGTGACTCTAAGAGATTAGACCGAAGCTTTTCATCATGCCAATGTAATAACACTTAAACATTTTAAACTGAAACTTTTTTCTTGGCTAGTTTTTTTTTTAAATTTTATAACCTTTCATTCCTGGAGCCAGTAGCACTAATTACCTCTGACAAGTGGCTCAGAATATCTACAAGAACTAAATTAAATAAAATGTTAGATAAATTCACAGCAATCAGTCTGATATCAGAAGAATTTTATTTGTGATAGCTAGACACTTGGGGAAGATATGGCTTGTTTTACACTCATATTGATCAAAAACTAAAAGACTAGAATTCCTAGAAGCTAACTGTGATGATGGACATAATGGAATATATTCCATGAAATTATTTTACTGCCACACAGTAAGCAATTAAAAGTCATGTCTAACCTGAAGAAAAGTTTGGAGAGGATCTGAGGAAAAGTGTCTGGTACTTGTAGGCTATCAGGGCTTCTAAGAAGGAGGCACAGTTCCAGTCAGGGTATCTAGGTAATAAGTCGATAGAAAGCCCACATCATTTGAGGAAGAATCCAGAAGCATGGGGTATCCTGAATCCCAAATTCCTCCTAGGCCTCTGGAAGGAGATTGCCTTACATTTATCCTGCAGCAACACAGGGGAGCAGCAGTAAGAGACACGTCAAGGTAGACACACAAAGGTAGAGTATGTCTCAGCAAAGAAGGTCTATGTTCCTCTCCATATCCCTAAAACTCTTCAAACTCTCTTATGGAATGAAAAAGTATTTGAAAATATCTCTATGCACCATTCAGAAGAGCAAAACTTGTAGTCAAGAATCACAGCATCCTGGGACAAGAGGTCAAATAGAAGACACTTCAGTGTGGGAAATTTTAGCTGGAAAGAAACCCAAATGGACCTCAAATAATCTGCAGTCAGGAAGGGTTGAGGAAACCCTTGGGGAAAAAAGCAAAGAGCAGATTGTTTATCTCCTCCAAAGAAATCACTAAATTTGCTTTGCCTTAAAATTATGGATGACTAGAATCAGTAAGAAAAAGACAAGACAGAAGACAAAACCCAACGAACAAAATGAAGGAGACATGTCAGCAGAGGCTGGTAAAGGCCAAGAAAATGTACACAGACAGCTTCTTCTTGCTCTGATGTGATCATATTTGCAAGCATTTTCCTATATTGAGGTGCACCACAGGGAGGAAATTGTGGACGTTCATTTACGTCTACACAAACACCTAGGAACAGTTCTATAATAGAGTTTAATGGCTGAATTCAATGAGATTAAATTGAATTAGGCTGAAATTGTACTCTACAGAGACTTTATTTTAAATAAAAATACACAGATTACCTCACATGGCAAAATTAAATGTTCCACCGTCACTAAAAACAGAGACATATATTATTTATTAATAATAAAGCTTATATTATTATGTCATGCCCATTTAAGTTATGAAGTAGTTTTATCATGTTTTTCTAAAGAAAGATATGTCCGCAGCAAAAATAAAAATATATAGTTTATATCCAAGAAGGAATATAAACAAATACCAGAACAAAAGGATACACTCAGAAATAGGGAAGTATAGAGGGAGTGGACTCGAATACAGCATGAAAAGCTGGTCAGCAAAGTGGGAGAATAAATAAGAAAATTATGGAGAATTTTAATCTAGAAAAGAAAGAATAAAGAGAAAAGAGTTGAGAACAGAAGACAGGGAAGTAACAAGTACATTTTTAAAGTGGCAATGTGAATCTAAAATCAGAAGGTACTAAGGTGAAATGCTAACAGAGGAGGAAAATTCAAAAGTACTGAGATAATGGAGAAGACATAGGTCAATTAAGATAAGTACTAAAAAGCATCCTGTGGATTTATAAAGATAAGTGTGAGATTTGACACACACACACAAACACATACATACACACACAAGCACACACACAGACATATTTACTCAATTTTTCTTGATATACCTAAGATATGGTGAAGAAGACATCTCATTTATTCAAATATATGAGTTATTCAGTACTCTTGCAAGTTAATAGTAGAATTATGCTAAATATTTTTATAACTATTGTGCCTAACTTTTATTAACATCAATGTAGTTTTCATTTATCATATAGATTTAGTCACCCTTAAAATTTTTTAGTCTTCTTTATGGTGCAAATGGGATCAGAGACTCAGAATTTAAAGCAAGAAGGTTTTTGTTAACAAGAACCACATTTTAGGAAGCTGAAGAGTTCTCAAAACCCAGGAGCATGAAACCACCAAACTTCAGTGTCTGAAACATTGAATCATAGGCATTACTTAACATCTGACTATCCCCAGGGCCTCCTCCCAGATCTAATTTGAAGTATTTAGGAAATACTCAAAAAGTATAGACTTCATATTCTTAAATAGCAAACTGAGAGCTGCTAACATATGTTTGAAACAAAAAAAATATAATTTTCATGAAGTATTTAATAAAGTATAGTTAGTTTATATTTCTAGTTCCTTTGAACTCAAAATAAAATTTTTCAAGTTTTACTATCATATGTTACAAAGATGCCATATAAAAATATTCAAGATGACTTTACTGTAATCAGAAAAATTGCTCTACTGAAAATTAGCATTGAGCTTCTATAATCCCATATTTCAATAGATTGATAGGCTGTTATCTCTAAATAAGTAAATTTCTATTTTCCTTAATTTGATGACCTTATATAAAATGTCTTCAAGTTTACTAAGTATGAAAACATCTATTTATTAATGCAATTTTTATGATAATGTGAACTCAGATACTAGTTCACATTATCCCCCATTCCTGTAAATAAATAACCCCAGGTTATAGTAACCCAACAGAAAATTCTAAGAATTTCTTCATTGTTTAAAAATTTTGCACTGAGATAAACATTTGTGGTAAAATATGTGTAGCTATATTAATACAAGACAGAACACAAAACCCAAAAAACAAAATAATTCTGTATCTTTGTTGCAGTTAAAAGGAATGCAACTAAAATATTTGCTATGTATATTTTTCCTAAAATATTACTTTAAAATCAATCTCAAATGGTTTTTCAAGAAATAACCAAAAAGAAGTCTCATTTAATAGGGTACTTGACCTTGTATTTTGTTTTAAAGAAATATTCTGTATTTTTTTATAAACATAACTATTCAAATATAAAGGGTAAATTTATAGAAAATGTAGTTGATGAGAGTCCTTTCCTGTATACTGCAGAATATTTGAAGAACTTTGCTTTCTATGAAGAATAATGTTAATATGAAGGCTTCACACTAAAGTAAAAATACTTGAACTAGAAATAAACACATAATCTCGACTAAAATATTTTATATATAATATGAAACTATCAAACGATGTAGTCAATTCTTGATAAAAATAATTTTTGTTCTAATTAATGTTGTCTATAACATGAGTTGCAAATATATTTCCAATTGCTCTATATGATTTTAATTTGCTGTTCATAATTTTTTCTATTAAAATTTTTAAATTTAATATAATGAAGTTTATTAGTTCATAAAATTGAAGTGTATATTGTTCTTGATATCTATTTTTATTTATTCTGGCTTTACTTAACTTTATATATATATTAATGTCCAACAGAATGATTTTGTTTTTGGCAACTATGCCTGTATTGCTAATTATGGTTCAAATACATTTGATACCCTTTCATGTAATCATTTGATATACATGGATTCATAACTATTTTGTGTTCATATTTGATTGCTGATTTCTTGCTTGTCTGTGTTTCTTTTATTAAACATATCTGCTTATTTCTTTGGATGTATTTAGACACCTTTTTATTATAGATTAAAATTTAGCTTTATTTTTTATTTCACTGTTTGCTCTTTTTTTAAACTTGTTAAATTTTTCAAGTAACTTTTATCCTTTTATATGCTATTGATTCATAGTATACAATTATTTTTATTGTGCTAGTATTATCATTTTATGGAAATAAACACCTATGTCTTTAAGGATGGAGGATCTGCTCAGAGCCTCATCCAGATGAGAAAATAATAATAGCTGCTAATTATCGAGTATTCAGTGTGCATCAGAGCCTGTTTTTTGTGTGTGTGTGTATTAATTCAACTGATCTTGCTAGAAATCCTACAAAATGACTATTATTTTCCCATGTTGCAACTGTAACTGAAAGACAAGACAGACAGGCATTTTAAAGAGCAATGTGTATCCTTCCTCTAATGATGAATATTACACAGGAAATAAAATAGAAAACATTACTAAGCCCTCTTTGACTTTGTACCACTTGCTCTCTCTTGACTTTGTACCATTTACTGTCTAGCCACAGATATCACTTTCATGTGTTGTGTCTAGAAAATGTGCTGCTCATTTTTGTCTCAGAGACTTTGTCTTTGCTGTTCCTTGTGCTTAGAAAGCTTGGACCAGATTTTTTATTTCATATATGGTCCTTCTCATCAGAAAATTCCTCCAGTTTCTCCAAGAAAAAAAAAGCCCCTCTTTCATCTATCATAGGCATTGTGCTGCCTTGTTTGATGGCAGAATAACATATTTGGATCCTAATTCTGTAATTTAGTAACAATGCAATATTAATACGATAAGAATCGATATAACTTTTGTGTTTATCATCTCCTTTATATATGAAATGTAGGTGATAATTGGATCTAGCCAATTGGGATGTTTTGAAAAATAAGTACAGTGAAGAACTCAGAGAATGGCTTCGCATAAAAGAAGCACTCAAAAAAAAACATTATTGTTCAGTGATATTTGTGATTCCACTTCATATTATTTATTATTTAAAATGCCTTCCTTAGTATTTTTTAGTTGATAAGATTTGAGGCCCGTTTTCAACGTTTTTAATAGATTTTCTTCTATAAAATGAAACATGGAGATTTTTAGTTTTCTATTAATGGTATATTAGTTTATATAAGACAAAAATTGTACATTAACTATGACTCTCATTGTTTAAAAAATATGGGTGAAATGGGAGCACAAAATAATAAGACATCATACTTTTATTGACCTTAAATATATTTAACATAGCTCAAATATTTTAAGATTATTTTATTGTACTATTTCAGGAACTAATACAGTAAAACCATAACAGACTGAAAATATGTTGAAGGCCCCTTGGCAACTTTACCATTTAATATGCAGGCTGTGGAATGGCCCCAGCCATAATTAATGGTCACCTCCAAACTCCTTCTAAAGTAGGTTATACTATCTGATGGACAATAAATCATATAACACAAGAGAATATTGACATCTATAACTTCAGTCACTCGCTACTTCAATTAGTTCTAAGTTATCCAAATTTCTGCAGTGTGTACTTTCATAGAAGGAGAAATCTTCACCATGGCTTTAAATATTTTGATGTCCTCTCTTTACATTACTTCCTTAGAAATTTCCAGATTGAAATTCCTTTTTTAATGTTGAAGTCAGTTATACTATATAGTCCTTGGTAACTCAATTACTTAAATATCTTTGTAGATATTTTACCTATATAAAAACTCCTCATTATTAATAAAAGCTTTACCTTCCCATAATTATATTATTATTCTTTTATGTTAAAGCATTTCAGTTTGCTAATAACTTATTTTCAGTAATCTCATAAATAGATCCAATGAACTAAACAGTGATTATAACAAGTACTTGCATAATTAGGAAATATTAAATAATTGCCTATATAAATTGTATAAATTTTTTCAGATAAAGTGCAGGGCAAATTACAAAATAAAAATTTACTTGTCATGAATTCATTATTTAAAGAATATAAAAACAATGAGGAATTATGTGAAACATTAAACACATTCAAATGTTAAACTATCACATTTTTATAAAATATATTTTAAAAACTAGAAATACTCTCAAATCATTGATGATGGCGTACAGCCCATTTCACAGTGGCTATAGACTTTTTATTGTCTATAAATGTAACACAAAGCTAACAAAGATAAGATATACAATGTAACGTAAAAATGAATACATAAAGGATTAAGTTATAGGCATATACTCATATTTGAATTGAGTTCGCTTAACCACATGCACTATATAAACAAACATTATAGCAGACAGATTGAAGCTCAAGATTAGTAAGCCAAAGATAAATAAAAATATTTCTGCTGGGCAACAGAGTCCACCACTTTTCATGAAAACATATGCCATTAAAGTCTTGCTTTACTTATTAAACTTAAATTAGCATGTATTTACTAAAAACAGGGTGTATATAAATATGCTAGGTACTGCAGATGAACAAAAATTAAAACACTCACTTGGCGAATTTAAAAATCTAGTAGAATGATAAGAAAAACTCATGGATGAGTGTAAATTATGTTAGAATATAATATGTTGAAAATGGGGTACAGATAAAATCTTTTTGGTGTAGGTTATTGGCTGAGAAAAGGTCCAAGAATCAGAGGAATTAGAGAAAAAAATAGGATACAGCAGCATTTGGGAACAAATTCTTTGAAAATATGTAGTTGCCAGTACTATAGAAGTCAACAAAGATAGAAACTCAAGATAATAGATTGGATTTGCCAATTAACAGTCCATTTTGAGAGAGTAATTTTGTTAGAATTCCTGGTGGTGAAAAGTTGATAATTAGACTGCAGATAAAAATATCTTTCCTGTGCTATTGGTCTATCTTCTCCCATCCATTTTAGAATGCATCCTTACTAATTACTCTAAATGAAACACTAAACTAAACAGAATATTAGGACAGTAGCATTTTCTACATATTATGAGCCTGTTTTTGTATTTTTTTCTGCAATTAAAATTTAAAGTTAGGAAGAATAAAAAGATAAATGTGCAGTGAGATTGAATCAGTAATTCATAATCCGCCCAACAGCAACAACAGAAAAGCCCAGGACCACATGAATTCACAGCCAGTTTCCACCAGACATTGGAAAGAAGAATTGGTATCAATCCTACTGACACTATGGCCTAAGATTGAGAAGGAAGGAATCCTACCTAACTCGTTCTACTAAGCCACTCTTACCCAAATGCCAAAGGAGGAAAGGATGTGACAAAAAAAAAAAAAAAGACAATTACAGGACAATATTCCTGATGAACAACAAAAATTCCTAATAACATACTAGCAAACCAAATTTAACAACACATCAAAAAAATAATTCACCGTGATCAAGGCGTTTTATCCCAGGGAGGGAGGAATGGTTCAAGATATGCAAATCAATAAATGTGACAGATCACATAAAAATAATTAAAAACAAGAACCGTATGATCATCTCAATAGATGCAGAAAAAAGAGCCAATAAAATTCAGCATTCTTAAAACCTTCAACAAATTAGGCATAAAAGGAACATACCTCAAAATAATAAAAGCCATATATAAAAAGGATTCCCTATTTAATAAATGGTGCTAGGAAAAATGGCTAGTCATATGTAGAAAGTTGAAACTGGATCCCTTCCTTACACCTTATATAAAAATTAATTCAAGATGGATTAATGACTTAAATGTTAGACCTAAAACCATAAAAACCCTAGAAGAAAACCTAGGCAATACCATTCAGGGCATAGGCATGGGCAAGGACTTCATGTCTAAAACACCAAAAGCAATGGCAACAAAAGCGAAAATTGACAAATGGGATCTAATTAAACTAAAGAGCTTCTGCACAGCAAAAGAAACTACCATCAGAGTGAACAGGCAACCTACAGAATGGGAGAAATTTTTTGCAATCTACTCATCTGACAAAGGGCTAATATCCAGAATCTACAATGAACTCAAACAAATTTACAAGAAAAAAACAAACAACCCCATCAAAAAGTGGGCAAAGGATATGTACAGACACTTCTCAAAAGAAGACATTTATGCAGCCAACAGACACATGAAAAACTGCTCATCATCACTGGCCATCAGAGAAATGCAAATCAAAACCACAATGAGATACCATCTCACACAAGTTAGAATGGCGATCATTAAAAAGTCAGGAAACAATAGGTGCTGGAGAGGATGTGGAGAAATAGGAACACTTTTACACTGTTGGTGGGACTGTAAACTAGTTGAACCATTGTGGAAGACAGTGTGGCGATTCCTCAAGGATCTAGAACTAGAAATTCCATTTGACTCAGCCATCCCATTACTGGGTATATACCCAAAGGATTATAAATCATGCTTCTATAAAGACACATGCACACTTACGTTTATTGCGGCACTATTCACAATAGCAAAGACTTGGAACCCAACCAAATGTCCATCAATGATAGACTGGATTAAGAAAATGTGGCACATATACACCATGGAATACTATGCAGTCATAAAAAAGATGAGTTCATGTCCTTTGTAGGGACATGGATGAAGCTGGAAACCATCATTCTGAGCAAACTATCACAAGGACAAAAACCAAACACCGCATGTTCTCACTCATAGGTGGGAATTGAACAATGAGAGCACTTGGACACAGGAAGAGGAACACCACACACCGGGACCTGTTGTGGGGTGGAGGGAGGGGGGAGAGATAGCATTAGGAGATATACCTAAGGTAAATGACGAGTTAATGGGTGCAGCACACCAATATGGCACATGTATACATATGTAACAAACATGCACATTGTGCACAAGTACCCTAGAACTTAAAGTATCATAAAAAAATTAAAAAAAAGAAAAAGAAAACTGCTGAAAGAAATTATAGATGACATAAACAAATGGAAATATATCCCAAGTTCATGAATTAGAAAAACAAATGTCATGAAAATGACCATGCTGCCCAAAGCAATTTACGGATTCAGTGAAATTTCTACCAAAATATCAACATCATTCTTAATAGAATTAGAAAGAATAACAACCCTAAAACTCTTTTGGAACCAAAAAGGAGCCCAAATAGCCAAAGCATTCTTAAGCAAAAAGAATAAATTTGAGGGCATCACATTACTCAACTTCAAGTTATACTACAAGGCTGCAGTACCAAAACAGCCTTGTACTGATATAAAAGCAGATACGTAGACCAATGCAACAGAATAGACAACTCAGAAATAAAGCCAAATAATTACAACCACCTTATCTTTGAGAAAACATACAAAACATAAACATACAAATATTAACCACGGAAAAGTGAATAAATGAGGCTGGAAAATTGGATATTCACATGTAGAAGAATGAAACTGGATTCCTATTCTCTCACCATATACAAAAAATTAACCAAAGATGTATGAATTATTTAAGAACTGAAACCATAAAAATTCTGTAAGAAAACCTAGGAAAAACTATTCTGAATGTTGACCTAGGCAAAGAATGTATGACAAAGATCCTCAAAGCAAATGCAACCAAACCAAAAATAAGTAAATGAGACCCATTTAAACTGAAAAACTTCTGCACAGCAAAAGAAATAATCATCAGAGTAAATAGAAAACCTACAGAATGGGAGAAAATATTTGCAAACTACATGGCCAACAAAAGAATATTATCAAGAATCTACCTCAAATCAGCAAAAAAAAAATGCCACTAAAATGTGAGCAGATTACATGAATAAACATTTCGCAAATATGTACAAATAGCAAAAAAATATGAAAAATGCTCAACATCACTAATTATCAGTGAAATGAAAATTAAATCACAATGAAACACCATCTCACACCAGTCAGAATGGCTATGATTAAACAGTCAAAAAAATAACAGATGCTGGTGAGGTTGTGGAGTAAAGGGAATGCTTGTAACTGCTGGTAATATGATTTGGCTGTGTCCCCACCCAAATCTCATCTTGAATTGTAGTTCCCATAATCCCCAAGTGTCCTAGGAGGGACCAGGTGGAGATAACTGAATCATGGGATAGGTTTCCCCATCCTGTTCCCATGATAGTGAGTTAGTTCCCATGAGATCTGATGGTTTTATAAGCGGCTTCCCCCTTTGCTGGGCATTCACTCTCTCTCCTGCCACCATGTGAGGAAGGATGTATTTGCTCTCCATTCTGTTATGATTGTTAAGTTTCCTGAGGCCTCCCCAGCTGTGTGGAACTGTGAGTCATTTAAACCTCTTTCCTTTATAAATTACCCCATTTCAGGTATTTCCTCATAGTAGTGTGAGGAGAGACTAATACAGCTGGTGTGAATGTAAATTAGTACAGCCTCTTTTGAAAATAGTATGGAGATTTCCCAAGGAACCAAAAGTAGATCTACCATGATTCAACAATCTCACTACAGGGTATCTACCCAAAGGAAAATAAACCATTATATCAAAAATACACCTATGTGTGCATGTTTATTGCAGCACAATTTACAGTAGAAAAGATATGGAATCAACCTAAGTGCCCATCAATAAATGACTAGGTAAAAAAGTGGGATATAAATATATGTGTATATTTATAATATGATATATATATGATATATATATAAAATGAGCTAGTACTAAGCCATAAAAAAGAATAATATAATGTATTTTGCAGCAACTTAGATGGCATTAGAGCTGTTATTCTAAGTGAAGCAACTCAGGAATAGAAAACCAAATACCACATGTTCTCACTTGTAAGTGGGAGCTAAGCTAAGGTACACAAAATCAGACAGAGCAGTATAATGGGCATTGAAGACTCAGAAGGGGGAAGGGTTAGAGGTGGGTGAGGATAAAACCTACCTATTGGGGTACAGTGGACAGTCTTTGAGTGATGGGTACAATAAAATTCAAGACTTCACCGCTCTACAATTCCTCCTTTTAACCAAAACTCACTTGTAAAGTTGTTGAAATTAAAAAAAGAATAAAGAAAACAAGAGAAATAAAAAAAAAGGCAAATGACACATTCACAATTTTTTCTTGCATGAGGCTGACATTCTAGTAGGGGACAGGAATTAAACAATGAAATGTACATGTAACTTATGTACAATTACCTGTACATAAATAGGTAGGATTGAACAGGAAAAGCCAAGTCTTCTCCGAGAATTCTTAACATTGGTCTTGAAGAGGGTTGGAAAAGATTTATCTGAGAAAATAAAGTTATGTTTCAGCTGAACTTTGCATGTACAGTAGAGATTGGGTGCACAAAGTGGAAGGAAAGATTTGCATCATTAAGAGGCTGCAACTCATGCAAAATCCTGAAATGCAAAGGTGCACCGTCATTTGAAAAACAAAAAGCAGCCAGGCACTCACAGCTGTAAACCCAGCACTTTGGGAGGCTGAGGCAGGTGGCTCTCCTTAGGTGAGAAGTTCGAGACCAGACTGGCCAACATGGCGAAACCCGGTCTCTAGTGAAAATACAAAAAATTAGCTGGGTGTGGTTGTGCGCACCTGTAATCCCAGCTACTTGGGGGGCTGAGGCAGGAGAATCACTTGAACCTCGGAGACGGAGGTTACAGTGAACTTTGATTGTGCCACTACACTCCATCCTGGGTGACAGAGTAAGACTTCGTCTCAAAAATAAAATAAAAATTTAAAAATTTAAAAAAGAGAAAAGCCTGATTCCTGGAGCAGAGTGAGAAAGATGAGGAGAGAAGCAAAGAAACTATGCGATGTATTTGAAAATATAGGTGAAAGCCAGACTATGCAAGACCTTATAGACCATGTTAGGAATTATAGTATTTATTCTAAGAGCAATGCAAGAGAGTTATTGATAAATTTGTATTTTAAAAGTTAACTGTCACTGCAAGGAGGAGAATGGATGAGAGTAAAAACAATGGTTGATAAGGTAAGATCTTTATAGTTAGAAATATGATAATTCTGATATCAGAAACAGTCCAACTTTTGCTTATGTAAGGTCTCTTGGTGTAAGCACTTTTATCTTCCTCTTTATGTTCAAAAGTGACCACATTTGAACAGTTAATTCCAATAATCAACATAGAAAGATTGTCTGAAATTAGTAATGGAAGATAACATCAAGTGGATGAATTGGAGATGAGTTTAGAAGATGAATGCTCAGAATTTGACAGAAATACAGGAGAGAGAACACAGAACAAGTCAGTAATGATATCTAAAATTCTAGTTTGCACAACTGGTAGAAGATGGCTCTGCTCATCAAAAACATGTAGAGAGATTAGGGCTTTGATACTATCAGTGACAGGAGTAGGAACCAAGAGGAGCACTAAAAATGAATTCATCTTTAGACATGTTGAATTTGAATTGTTGGTGGGACATCCTGTTGGAAATATCAAGCAGACAGATAGATGCGCCTGAGACTCCAGTAACAGTTCTGAACTGCTCTTCTGTGTGATAATTGAAAATAAAGTACAGATGATGTCCTTTTAGGGGAGGTTACTAGCTACGAAAAAGGCCAAGAACTGGTAGCAAAACAGAAAACACTGGGGGAAAGGAGAATGCACCCTCAAAAGATACCCCCCACCAAAAAAGAGATGAAAAATAGAGAAAGGGATAATCCACGATTTTATGGAAAAGATTATTGCAAGAGAAAATACTAAAAAATAGCACCTAATTTTTCTAAGATATTAGTTACATACTATGAGTACCAATAGGCATAGCTATCTGGTTAAAACCTAGAGAAGCCTTTGATAATTTTACATATGAATGAAATATGCATTAAATAAGAAGATAAATAAATTTCATGAAGCCAGCATACATTTCATTCTCTTTAAATATTTCTTTCTGAGTTCAATCTTCCATCATTTCATATTGTCTATTTCTTTGCTACTTTTGTTGTGATTTTTCCTCTTAGTTCGGAATGTATTATCCTGTGTAATGTTTTCAGCCCTTTCAATAATACAATATAATCTTCAACTGATTTTGTTGTCATGTTATTACTGCATTGCCAATCTCCAACTGTGAGCAACCACACTGACTGCTTTCCCTGAATTGCTGAGTGTTTCACAAAATCATGCTAGTACGATAGTACATTCACCAAATATTTAATTTGCCTTTCATTTATTATATGACAGGCATTATGTTACACAATGGAGACTCTAAAATGTAAGCAGATGAGCGAATGGAACTTTATTCCAAGAATGACTGCATTAGGGTTCATATTCATGAGCTTGATAGATACTTGACTATTTTGTAGACTAAAACTTCTAACTCCTGAACTGACTAAAAATTGCATTGCTACATAAAAACAAGTAGTTGCTTTATCAATAAAATGTGTAATTAGCATAAGCTAAAGGATGTTTGACAAGTTTACTTGTTTTGGATTATTTGCTGACATTTGAGGCAATAACTTTGAAATATTACTCAAACAATAAGAAATCAGCAATGTCCTATGAAAATTCAGAAAACAATTTATACTAGTAGTTAAATAATACATTATATAGAAAGTTTAAAATTAAAAAGTAAATTGCTAATGATTTTAAATCAATAATAATGAATAGTGTAAACATCACTGGGGGGAAGACCATTAGTAAAATTGGCAGTACATATAGAAATATGCAGCTTCATTACAAATTTTCTTTCACTCAATGCTAATAAATTTAATCAAACCAAACAAAAAAGGAACAAAAAAGGTTAAAATATCCTACTATAATCTTTAAAACACATTTACCAAGATCAACTTCTATTTCTTGCACTATGACTAACTAAATATCTTTAAAATAACTTTGATTAAACACACTTAAACATTATTGATAAAATGTTTTTTATTAATATTCTATAACATGCATAGCTGAGTTCACAAAAAAGTACAGAAAATAAGCAATAAACAAGAGTAATAAAAAATTGATAATTGAAAAAGAAATGGTAAGTTATTGCTGAAGCTATGAATGTATTGTGTAATTAAACAAGAAGCATGGGTTGTAATGACCATATTAGGGAGAGTGGAGTCTTGGACTCATGCTGGGTCCTGGGACTAACCTCCAATGAAAGTTTATAGAAGAAAGAACACATTAGCTAGCAGAATACTAAGAAAAGAAAAAATTGAAAACAAGGCAAACTTGAATTCCAATACAAACATATTCTACATAACATCTCCTCAATTACTGTTTTTTTTAGGGAAAGATCTCTTGGTTTTTGATATCCAAATATTTTATGGAGTAGATCTGTCATTATAATGTTTTTCAGCCGATATATACAAGAAAAATATATGCATATTTACAAAGCTCACTGAATTATAAATGAGCATGCAGAGATTATCTCAATTTATATATCAAATGCAATTTGCAGAGTTTAAAAATCAAATAATGATGTTTAGAAAAACA
Source organism: Homo sapiens (assembly GCF_000001405.40). Taxonomy (NCBI): domain Eukaryota; kingdom Metazoa; phylum Chordata; class Mammalia; order Primates; family Hominidae; genus Homo; species Homo sapiens. Next base: position 69,364,918 of record NC_000013.11, read on the forward strand.
TTTTAAGCATCAACAAAGCTAATGCATATAAAATGTATTAGGAGGCACTAAGGGAAATCATACTATACACAAGGGAACTTTTTATTTAACAATCATATGTACTTTTGCTAATCCAGTAGAAACTGTTTAAAATATTTGTATCCTAACATGATACTTTATTTCTTACACATAGACATGTAACTCTTAGTTGTGCTACTTAGAAATCTCTTAGGGGGTCTTTCTGTGACATGTCAAATATATTATTTTTTCTTTTTTAAAAATGCAAAATCATACAACCACATAGGTAAATGTCGAAAACATTAAACTGAGTGAAATGTCTTACACAAGATTTCATAATACATAATTTCAAGTCACTGAAATCTGGAGCAAGCAAAAGTAATAGTTGGTGCTGACAAAGGAAAGAATAGTGGTTGCCTATCAGCATTTGGAGGTAGAGATTGACAAAAAGGGTGATGGTAATGATCTCCATTTTGACAGAACTTTTAGTTACAAGTGTATGCATTTTCTAAAACACATTAGTATACTTAGATTGCTGCCTTTATTCTATGTAAATTTGACCTTAAAAAGATCATTTAAAGGTATCCAACTCTAGTTAACTCTAGCATGCAAAAATGTTTTTGAATGAAAATAATGTCTGCAAGTTTAAAATTAAATAAAAATTGATGGATGGATGCATAGATAGATAATAAAGCAAATAAAGTAAATGTTAATTGTTAAATCACAGTTATAGAATGTGAGTGTGTAGGATTCATTTCTTTCAAATTTTTTGCACATACGAAAATGTCTTTGTAAAATGCTGAAAAAGTTAATAAAGAATAAGAATTAAATACATGATAAATCTTTTCCTGCAGAAAGTCTGATTTAATGTACTGGGTTATTGATGTTAAGTAGAGATATCTTTATATTCTACCTGTGTTGTCTTGAAAACCCAAAGCTTAAAAATTAAGTTAAATTAGGCCTGAGTAAGTATGGAGCATAAGTAGCCAAATAGAAATAAACTCACATACTTACTTCTAAATCAAAATTGAATTTGTGACAAAATGTGCGGAATGTAGAAAACAGAGTGAGAGGGAGAAAGGGAATATAAATCAAATACAGAGTCAGAAGAAACATCTAACAGGAGAAGATATCCCCACCAACTTCATATAGTGGGATTTTTATCTATGGAATGTAAAATTTGTCATGTTCCTCCCGCTAAGCATATTCAATAGACAAGTTATCTCCTCCTAGGAAATAGCATTAGCCTATCTACCAGAAGATCTGGTTCATAGAAAGATTATGTTATGTGTTCTGACTTATTCTCTTTCCTTTGAGGTAGAGTGTCTGGAGTAAAGTTTGGGCCTGAGAAAAGAGTAGACAGAGATCAGGCCAGTCGCTGTATCTCCTTATTCCCCAACATCAAAAAATAAAATAAAAGATAAAAATAGGGGAATTAAATTCCAAATGAAAAATCTAGAAGAAGAACAAAAAACAAACCAAAACAAAATAGTAAAAGAAAATAATAAAGATAAAAGCAGAATGTTGTAAGGTTAAAACAGTTAATAAGTAAATTTAAATGCTCATTATTTAAAAGAATCAACAAAATGCAAAATCACTAGGTAAGCTGATAAATTAAAAAGTAGATATAGCAAAAATAAAAAATATGACAAGTAAAATAATTATTAATGCAGAAAAAAGCTGAAATATCATGATAGACAACTTTTCAGAACTCTATGAAAGTAAATTTTAAAATTATATAAAATGAAAAACTTTTAAAGCAACTAGAGAAAATGGTCAGATCACTTACAAAGGGAACTCTATCAGGCTAACAGTAGACTCTTCAGCAGAAACTCTAGAAGGCAGAAGAGACTGGAGGCCTATTTTTACCATTTTTCTTTTATTTCTTAGAAAAGAAATTCTGATCGTAAATTTCATATCCAGCAAACTAAGTTTCATAAGCAAATAAGATATAAAATCATTTACAGGGAAGCAGTGGCTAAAGAAATTCTTTATCATTAGGCAGCATTACAAGAGTTCCTTAAGGGAATTCTAAACTTGGAAGCAAAAGAACAATATCTGCTACCACAAAAGCACAGACAACTACATAGCCCACAGGTTCTATAAAGCAACTATGCAAGACTGCAAAGCAACCAGCTGGCACCACCACAGGATCAAAAGCTTACATATCAGTATTAACCTTTAATATAAATCGTTGAAATGACCCACATAAAAAGCACAGAGTGGTAAGTTGGATTTTAAAAAAGAACTACCTTTCTGCTCTCTTCAAGAGACCCATCTCCCATGAAATGACACCCACAGTCTCAGAGTAAACTGAGGAAGAAAGATCTATGGCAAGAAAAAGGAAAACAAGAAAAAGCAGATGTCATTATTCTTATATCATATGAAAGAGACTTTAAACTAATAACAGTAAAAACAGACAAAGAAGGATGTTACATAATGATAAAGACTTCAATTCAACAAGAGGACTTAACCATGCTAAGTATATACACACCCAAAATTGTAGCACCCAGATTCATAAAACAAGATATTTCTAGACCTACAAATATATTTGCACAGCCACACAAAAATTCTGGGGGACTTCAACAACCCACTGACAGTGTTAGACAGATAGATCATTGGGGCAGAAAATGAACAAAGAAATTCTGAGCTTAAATTCCACTGGTATTAAATTTGAACAACTGGAACTATAGATAATAGACATCTATATAACACCCCATGCAACAAATATAGAATAGAAAGTCTTCCCATCTTTATATGAAAAATACTGTAAGATTGATCACATGCTCAGCCATGAAGCAAGTTTCAATAAGTTCAAAAAATCTAATTCATACAAAACATGTTCTCAGAAAACAGTAGAATGATGTAAAAATCCATATCAAGAGAAACTCTCAAAACTAAATTACAAAAAAGCTGGCCGGGAGCAGTGGCTCATGCCTGTAATCCCAGCACTTTGGGAGGCCGAGGCGGGTGGATCACAAGGTCAGGAGATCGAGACCATCCTGGCTAACATGGTGAAACCCCGTCTCTACTAAAAAAATACAAAAAATTAGCCAGGCATGGTGGCGGGCGCCTGTAGTCCCAGCTACTTGGGAGACTGAGGCAGGAGAATGGCGTGAACTTGGGAGGCGGAGCTTTCAGTGAGCAGAGATCATGCCACTGCACTCCAGCCTGGGCGACAGAGCGAGACTCCATCTCAAAAAAAAAGGCTACATGACTTGCTTCTGAATTACTTTTGGGTAAACAATGAAACTAAGGCAGAAATGTTCTATGATATGAGTAAAAAGAAAGACGTTGCATCTGAAATCACTCGGATTCAGCAAAAGCAGTGTTAAGATGAAAGTTAGTGACCCCAAACACCTACTCAGACAAGTTAGAAAGATCTCAAATTAATAAAATTAATAATCTAATTTAACCAAGAGAAAATAGAAAAACAACAAATACACACTAAATCTAACAGAAGAAAAGAAATGACTAAAATCAGAGTAGCTAAATAAAAATTATAAATCAATAAAACTTAGCTAAAGAAAATTAAATAAAATTTAGGCTCCCAAATCCATGCAAAGAATTAAATAATGAAAGTTGGTTATTTCAATGGATAAACAAGATATATGGACCATTAGCTAGATTAGTAAAGAAAAAAACAAAAGAGAAGATCCAAATAAATACACTGAGAAATGACAAAGGCAATGTTACAACCAATCCCTCAGAAATACAAAAGATCCTCAGAGACTACTGTGAATACCTCTGTGAACATAAAGTAGAAAATCTAGAGGAAATGGATAAGTTCGTGGAAGCACACAAACTCCCAAGGATGAATCAGGGAGAAATTGAATTCCGGATCAGACTAATAATGAGTTACTACATTGCATCAGCAAAAACAAACAAATAAACAAACAAAAACTACCAGCCAGAAACAGCCCTGTGCAAGACAGAGTCACAGCCAAATTCTGCCAGATGCACAAAGAAGAGCAGCTACCAATCCTACTGAAACTATTTTAAAAAATCAAGGAGGAAGGTCTCCTCCCTAACTCATTCTACGAAGCCAGAATTATTTTCATACCAAAATCTGGCAAAGATGCAACAGAAAAGAAAACTTTAGACAAATTTCCCTCATGAACATAGACGCAAAATTCTTAACAAAATACTTGCAAAGTAAATCCAGCAGCACAGCAAAAAGTTAGTTCACCACAATCAAGTCGGTTTTATTCTTTGGATACCAAGTTGGTTCAACATACATAAATCAATAAATGTGATTCATCACATAAACGGAATTAAAAACAGTACCATATGATTATATCAATAGACACAGAGAGTTTTCAGTAAAATTCAATTTCCCTTTATGATAAAAACCCTCTACAAAGTAGATTTTTTCTTTACGATAAAAACCTTCAATATTGAAAAAAACATTCTCAAAATAATAAGAGCCATCCATGACAAACCCACAGCCAACATCATACTGAACAGGCAAAAGCTGGAAGCATTCCCCTTAAGAAGTGGAATAAGATACCAATGCCCACCCTCACCACTCCTATTCAACATACTACTGGAATTCCTAGCCAGAGAAATCAGATAAAAGAAAAGGCATCCAAACAGGAAAAGAAGAAGTGAAATTATCTTTCTTCACTGAAGATATATTCTATATGGAGAAAATCCTGAAAAGTTCACCAAAAGGCTACTAGACCTGATAAATGATTTCAATAAAGTGTAGGACACAAAATCAATGTACTAAAATCAGTGGCAGTGCTATATACCAATAACATTCAAGCTAAGCACCAAATAAAGCATACAATCCTATTTACAATAGCCACACAAATAATAAAATAACAAGGAATACATTTAGCTAAGGAAGTGGAAGATCTCTACAAGGACAGGTAAAAAGCACTGCTGAACAAAATTGTAGAGATACAAACAAATGGAAACACTTTCCATGCTCATGGATTGGAAAAATCAATATCATCAAAATGTCCATGTTGCCCAAAGCAATCTACAGATTCAATGCTATTCCTATCAAACCATCAACATCATTTCTCACAGAATTAGAAAAAAAAACTACTCTAAAATTCATATGGAACCAAAAAACAGCCTAAGTAGCCAAGACTGTGGTAAGTAAAAGGAACAAAGTCAAAGGCATTACATTACCCAACTTTGAACTATACTACAAGGCAACAATAAACAAAACAGCATGGTATTGGTACAATGACAGACACATAGGCCAGTGGAACCAAATAGAGAATCCAGAAATAAAGCTGCACACCTACAGCCATCAGACCTTCAAAAATGAGCAATATGGAAAAGACTTCCTATTTAATGAAAAAAGTGCTTGGAAAACTGACTATCCATATGCAGAGGAGTGAAACAGGACCCCTATCTTTCACCATATACAAAAATTAACTTAAAAAGAATTAAGGACCTAAAACTATAAAAATCCTAGAATACAACCTAGGAAATACCATTCTGGCCATCAGACTTGGCAAAGAATGTATGACTAGATCCCCAAAAGCAATTGTAACAAAACCAAAATTTGGTAAGTGGGACCTAACTAAACTAAAAAGCTTCTAAACAGCAAAACAAAGTATCAACAAAGTAAACAGAAAACCTATAGAATGGTAGAAAATACTCATAAACTACGCATCTGAGAAAGGTTTAATATTCAGAATCTATAACAATAATCTATAATATATAACAACAAAAAACAAATAACCCCATTAGAAAGTGGACAAAGGACATAAACAGACACTTCTCAAAAGAAGACATACATGTGGCCAACAAACATATGAAAAATGTTCAACATCACTAATCATGAGAGATGATGATTGTTGACTGATGATGTAGTTTTTAAGCAAATCAAAACTGCAATTAGATATGCTACACCAGTCAGAATGGCTTATTAAGTAGTCAAAAAATAATGGATGCTGGCAAAGTTGTGTTGAAAAGGGAAAGCACATACATTGTTTGTGTGAATGTAAGTTCAGCCACTATTAAAAGCAGTTTGGAGATTTCTCAAAGAACTAAAAACAGAATTACAATTTCACTCAGCAATATCATTACTGGGGAAACTCCCAAAATAAAATAAATCATTCTACTAAAAAGACACATGTACTAATATTTTATATGATAAAATTTATAATATAAATTATTATAGCACATTATAGCACTATGCACAATAACAAAGACATGGAATCAAACTAGATACCCATCAATAATAGATTGGATAAAGGAAATATAGTACATATACACTATGGAATACTGCATAGTCATAAAAAGAATTAAATCATGTCCTTTGAATCAGCAAGGTGAAGTTGGTTGCTGTTGTTCTAAACCAATTAACACAGAGAAAACCAAATACTATATTCACTCACTTATAAGTGGGAGCTAAACATTTGGTACAAATGGACGTAAAGATGGGAACAACACAACCTGGGACTACTAATGGAGGGAGGAAAGGTTAAAGGTTGAAAAACTACCTATTGTGTTGTACGTGTGTATGTGTGTGTATGCTCACTACCTAGGTGATGGGTTTACTCATACCCCAAATCTCAGCATCACACAATATACCCATGTGTAACAAACCTGCACATGTGCTACCTGAATCTAAAATGAAAGTTGATTTTTTTTAAAAAATGAAGAAAATTGCACATTTAAAATACATTATCACACCATTGCTTTCCTATTAGTTTGCTAAAAACCTTAAAGTTGACAACATCACTGATGGCAAGTCTTTATTCAAACTAGCTCATCTGCTCACTGCTTGTGGGAATAACAAATGATACTCTTACGAAGGTGAATTTGCCAATAATTAACACAATTACATATGTATACATACGCATATTTGCTTAAAACCTGCTACCATACTTCTAGCACAAATATAAAAAATAACTCATGGAATTATTTATTGTGTTGCTATCATTAAAAAATCAAAATTCAAGAGTATTACATATGATATTGTAGATTTAAAAAAACAATTATACTTCTGGTTCCAAAATAGTGGTGTAGAACCAAACTGGTTCCACTCCTCACCACCATGGAAAACCAGAGACAAATATATATCACTGACATTATCCCAGGAATATCCCCTAAGTCAAATATGAGGATGAAACAGCTACTGGTTAAATTTTTGCATGAACCCCCAAAATATGTACATCTACTATACATAAGAAAAAATTTAATGAATACATATATATGTGTGTGTGTGTGTGTGTGCATATGCATATGATATGCATGTGTATTTGCTTACTTAATAAGGGAAATATAACCTGACACTAGTGAAATGGCTTTCTATAGGGGATCATGGGAATAATTTGGAAAAATAGAGTTAGGAATAAGACTTTTGTATGTATGCTTTTATATAACCATGAATTAAGGCTAAGAAAAAAAGGACATGCTAAATTTTGATACCAACAGACACAGTAGATTTTTACTGTGTTTTAACATCATAAGCACAAATAAAAAATAACAAACAGCAGTATTTATTGAACTCAGAACTCTGACTGAACAATTTTTTAGCTACATTCTGAGAACAAAATGAACTATATTTAATATTTGCAATGTACAGTGTGCAACATTTTATATGCATTAATTTCCTTAATACTCACAACCACCCTACAATATACACACAGTTTCTAAACTCTACAAGTTTCATTATGTAGGCAACCAATGCTTAAGATAGTTAATACATTTGCTGACAATGAAATGCTGGATTACATGTCTCTTGAATCTTTACCATCCACATCTGCATTATCCTGATGAGAACAATAACAACCAATTACACATGTAGCTAAGTAGAATAAAGTCAGTTTTCTTCTATAATTTCTGGATCACTTTATGGCCTTTCTCATTCGTTATTTTCCATAAAATAATATACCACTAATTGTTTGAATTGTTTTACATAACACAATCACTAAGAACATAGGTTAGATATACACATAAAAAGAATGTTGGCTCAGCCTGGCTAACATGGCAAAACCCGTCTCTACTAAAAATACAAAAATTAGCCCAGAGTGGTGGTGCGTGCCTGTAGTTCCTGCTGCTTGGGAGGCTGAGACACCAGAATTGCTTGAACCCAGGAGACAGAGGTTGCAGATCATGTCACTGCATTCTAGCCTGGGTAACAGAGAAGGAACCTGTCTCTAAAGAAAAAGAATGATGGTTCAAAGATATCAATAACAAAGTGAAAATAAGTGGCAGATACAAAGAACTAATGTATTTTTATACAGACAAATGTTTGATTCTGCATTGTATTATGTTCTAATATTTAATAAAATTTTGGATTTGTATAGTGCCTATTAAATTATAATCACAGGCAGTGGAGAAACTCATAAAAATCAATTTATGTTGCCATCATTTTCAGATATGTAAAATGAAAGTGCTGCTCTTAATTTTTCCTGAAAATCATACTATCTTGGCACATTTTGATCAAAAATTCTTACAAAATTGGTTAAAAAGGAACTTTCTCAAATCTATGCAGCCTCAATATAAGTGACTGTGTCACAAAACTCACTAAAACTATAAAATGGAGTTGAATGAAAAGTAAAAAATCTCTATTAAAAGTCAAATCTTTAAAATTAAAGATCATCCAACTATGACCAATCATAGCTTTGGGAATTTAAGTTTCCATTATATCGCATTACATATTTATTTTTAGATTTCACACTGCCTCACTTACAATGATAAATATTATTCTTGTTATTGTATACTTAACTGAGACAACAATTAACATTGATGTTATCAAGCTTAGCATACATATTTTGAGAAGAAAATATTAGGAGTATATTTTTCTTTTTCTCATTTGTGGGTATTCATCACAGATACACTTTTTTTAAGAGCATGATTTTCAATGACAATTATGTGAACACTGTGAGGACACATATCAACGTTTGTGATTTTTCTGATTTGAAAAAAGCTGTTAGAGTCTTAAATAAAACAACTTTTTATGACCTTCTGTCTACTCCTTAAGGCAACCTAAAAGGATGTAGGGAACACACTGTAATGGATGTTTTATGATTATTCTGCCCATTACACAGTGAATGTTTAGCATTTCACCAAAGCAAACGCTTGCAGTTAGAATCCTGATGAGTTAAATATCCCTCATTACCATGAGCACTTACATATTTCCCTTTATGTACAACTTCAAGGTAACCAAACTACTGAAGTTATATTTATGAGGAAAAAAAAGTAAACATTTTGCATAAAAAAGATAAATAAGAAGTTTCACACAGCTGCTGTTTCACAATTTCGGAAAAGTTACTTCATGCCAAGGTCACTGCGTATGAAATTACTGGCATCTTTACTGAAACCCAGCACTTCTTACACAGAAAAGCAGTAAATCCATCTAAGAGAATGATTGGGAAGCTAAAGCAGGGATACAACATCTGTCAAGTAGTTTATGCATCTGGCTTACAGAAGAGGTTCCTTCTTTTCAAAAAAAGGCAGCTTTACCAGACTGTGTGTGGAAATAAAGATAGGCCCTTACAACGTATCTTTAAATAGATGGCAAATAATTGAAAGTAAAGTTGTATTTTCATCTTTTTTTCCTACCACATACTAAAATCTATTTAAAGGGAAGTTTCATCATTAACTGAACAAAATTCTACCCATAAATTATTGATTGTTGATTAATACTGCACCAATGTAATTTCAGAAGTGAGTCTATCTTAAACTTGACACTGTAAGTAGTTCTGACGTACGCTCGTGAGGAATTTAAAGGGCTTGTTTGTCAAATATATATATAATATAATCCTCAAAAATAAGTAAGATACAAAAAGAATTAAATTTGTACACATCATAAAAGCAGAAAACAAAAGATTACAGGAAAACAATTCTGTACTTAGGGAAATTGGGAAAAGATTATATTAAATGTAACGTTAAGCTTTAAAAAATCAAGGCAATCAGTATGAAGTGGGGGAGGTTTACAAATTAAGGGTAATAAATTACTAACAGAGAATCTTGATTTATTACAAATTCAATATGTCACATAAGTTTGATCTGTTATGTATGTCCACAAATAAAATATATTAAAGAACAAAAGAAAAAAGAAATTCATTTTCCGGTGGTGGTAATATACTGTACTCAATACCCCTGAAGTGAAGCACTGACCAAGTATTGGATCTTTAGCAAATTGTTAAAGAGTCTAAAACTGGAAGCAGTAAGACTAAAATGGCTATTTAACACCGAATAGAGATAGCATAATGATGCATTGTTTCCATCTTCAATATGTGACAAGCTTTAAATCATACATTCCACAATATGACACAAAGGAGTCTCATCTATTTTTCTCATATCAGAGTCATAGACCTAGCCTTGGGTGATAGGCAGCAATTTAGTAGAAGCAGGGGGCAGAATCATAAGAAGGAAGGTCTGGGGACAAGTGAGAAGATATATTTTAAGAATGATGGGGTCATTCATAATGGTAAGAGTTCTTGAGAGTTTAGCAGGCTTTAAAAAATAATGAAAATTCTTAAAAGAAGACAGCACTGATAACTTTCAAGAGAGAACAAATGGAAGTAAGACTATGAGGGTATCGATGATACACATGGTTTTACAGTAAATTGAATAAATGTTGAGAATAATCTATTTTCTAAATTTGGACACCAATAAAAAACATAATTTGCAATTATGATTTATAAGGGGTAGCAAAATCATTTATTTTTAAAGATAAAATTGGAAAAAATTATGTAGCTTATATAGAAAAATTTAATTATATTTTATATTTATACATAAAATTAATATATATAATTTCTATGTGATATATTTCTATATAAATATATGTAAAATGCATATTTGTGTTTACACTTTTTGTTCATTCTCGTTCTATCTCAGTCTCCTCTCTTTTTATCTCTACACATACACACACACAGACATTTTTTTGCTACATAGAAAAGTAAATTTTAGGCATCAGGTTACTAAAATATATCATGTTTAAATACGTCAATGTGCATTCCCTAAGACAAAGAACATCCCTCTACATAAACACAACAATAACAATGGTATGCAAGAAATGCAATATGTACACAATCATACGTATTACATTTTCAAATATTCCCAAGTATCTAACTTACATTTTGAAAATGTCTGATTAAAATCACAGCAATGTGAAGTTATTGTTTCTATAGAGAGAAAAATTCCATAGGCTAAGTGAAATAAAATAATTTATGAATGGAAATGTTTGTAAACCAATTTTTTATATTCAATAAATTTCAAACTATTTTATCTGCATTCCCCATTTTGATTTTGTCTCTTAAACTCATAAAGCTTTATCTGAATTAAGTTGTGTTACAAATGTTTCTTTAAATTATTTGTGTAATTAAAAGGGGAATAAGGCATGATGGGATTAAGTGAGGAAAAATATGATATCTATTAGTAGAATAAAAGGATCTAGAACCAGAAATACCAGTTGACCCAGCAATCCCATTACTGGGTATATACCCAAAGGATTATAAATCATTCTACTATTAAGACACATATACATGTATGTTTATTGCAGCACCGTTCACAATAGCAAATACTTGGAACCAACTCAAATGCCCATCCATGATAGACTGGATAAAGAAAATGTGAAACATATACATCATGGAATACCATGCAGCCATAAAAAAGAATGAGTTCATGTCCTTTGCAGGGTCATGGATGAAGCTGGAAACCATCACTCTCAGCAAACTAACACAAGAACAGAAAACCAAACACCACATGTTCTCACTCATAAGTGGGAGTTGAACAATGAGAACACATGGACACAGGGAGGGGAACATCAAGCACCAGGGCCTGTCAGAGGATGGGGGGCTAGGGGAGGGATAGCATTAGGAGAAATACCTAATGTAGATGATAGGTTGATGGGTACAGCAAACCACCATGGCACGTGTATACCTATGTAACAAACCTGCGTGTTCTGCACATGTATCCCATGACTTAAAGTATAATAAAAGACAAAATAATAATAAATAAATAAAAATTAAAAACGGTGAATACGAATGAGACAGGAGAATTTCCTTGACCCCTTCATGGGAACCCTTGTGAAGGGGGTGGCTCATTTACTTGGCCACCATGCATACAGGAGGGGGTGCATGCAGGTAAAACAGGAAGGGAGCTTTTTTTTTTGAGGGGGGGCTCCAGCCCTACGGCAGTGTCCATGGGTGTTACAATGCTCTTTTAGCTTTGCATCATTGATGGCTAAGTGGTAACCAGCTCAGTGGCGAGTCAGGATGACAGCCTTTTACACCCCTCACTCTTTGTACCCAGGTCCTTGTCCGGAGTACAGGAAAAATCAAGTCACATGGACTTGAAGGATGGTGAATGCAGGGATTTTATTAAGTGATGGAGGTGGCTCTCAGGGGGTGGATGGGGAGCTGGAAAGGGGTGAGTGATTTGCATTAGTGATTTTACAAAGCATGAGTGATTTGCTAATAGTTCCAACTCAAAGATTCACATCTGTTCATATTTTACAGAGATAACCAATGATTAATCAAAATTTTAACAGTTGTCATACTAATGAATGGTATGGAGAAGTACAGCCATGCATATGAAATACAAGAAGCAAGTATTCTGCCATATATATTACTGGTAAAATGTAAAAAAATACAGAAAGACTCTTCTACTTTGACCTCACCATCTGACTTTATATGTAAAGTCATATTTATCTAAAAAAATCAATTTGAAAATAACATTCTCTAGGACAACTATCTTATTCAACTTGGCTATTATAAAGTAATAATTGATTATAATAGAAAAGTTTGGAGGTACAATTAAATATGAAGATAAAAAATAAGATGCAACACAAGCCCAATAAATAGAAACAACATTCTATTATGTTACATATTCTTAAATAAAGCTAAAATATTATTCTTCATATAAATTCACCTTCCCTTTTAAATGTAATATTTCCCCTTTTTGTTAAAAATGACATAACATGTATGTTGAATTTAATATTTGATGTAATATTTTGTTTTGAGGAAATTTTTATTTTTTATAGTTTGTTACAGGTTTGTGGACTAATATTTCTTTTGTGAACTGGGTGTGTGTAGCTTTTGCACATATTTCTTCTTGTTATTGACTCAAAATTGTTATACATAATAAACATTTTTCTTGCCAAGTTGTTACATTAATATGTTTTTTTATCCTTCGTGTATTTTTTATGCTTTCTGATATATATTTTTCTTTTTATTAAATAATTTATAGCCGAATATAGCAATCTTTTCAATATTTTTATTTATTGACATTTCATGTTGATATAAAAAAATCAATATGAAATGAAGTGCAATGTGTCAATATTTGTTGTCTATATAATACAATAAACCAATATTTTCCAATGTACAGTGCTCAATGTGACAAAATCACTCATAGGTTAACAATCTGTTCCATGTACAGGATAGAGAAATTGATTAAAATAAAATTGACTAAAAAAAGTTCATTGGCATGCTCTCAGGTCACATTTTAAATAACTTGTAAGAAACTATCACTCGTTAACCTTTTTGTATGCCTAAGAATATCCACAATTGTCTGAAAATATTATTAAAATATTTTCCCTTTCCCAAATACCTAAGTGAGAACGGAATTTGTTCATTTACTTCAACCAAAACAATATATAACAGATTGAAAGGAGAAGCAGATATGAGATTCCAGCTGTTGTCTATGAAACTATGCACTAATCATATTTTTCAAAATGTAAAACAATGCAAATCTTTTCAATAATTGTTTTTACTTTTGAGAATAATATGGTGTTCTTCTTAAAATATAATGAAATTATTATTTTTATAAATTAGTAAGGCTTCAAATTTTTCAGTTTTAACTTATAATAATGCCAATATTTATAACTCATGGAAATAAAATCTTCACATGTACCCCAGAAACTAAAATAAAAGTTTAGAAAAAAAATCCAGGCCTCTTCCAACTCTACTTATAACCTAAGATTTTAGAATTGTTTAACCACATAAGTGATGTAAATTTTACATGATTCTTCTTAATAAAACATAGTTTTGTTTTCATTGTTTACCTGTTAGTTGTTTCAAGTGGAAATGTTTATCAAACTAATAAAACTCTCTATATCCCACAAATTTAGAACATTACTCATTCCTTTGTTTTAAACAATATTAAACATAATGTATATTAGGTCATTTTATTATCTAAAGTTTCAAATAAAATCTAAATCTACCCATCATTTTTGACATGGAATCCCATGTATATGTTTTTCTCTTTTGTTAAAAGACTTTTGAATTGTGAGATGTATTTGGGTAGAATTTACATAATATCTTAGTAGAAAGTTGCATTTCTTTAGCCAAAATTAAAGTGTATGCTCTCTGTTGTGGACATATGGATGCTTTTAATTGGGGTCTGTCATAAATAATGCTTTTATGAGCATTCTTATCATTGACAATATGTATGTTAGGTTTAAAAACATAATGCCAAACAGTTTTCCAAACTGGTAGAACCAATGTACATTTTCTAATTTTTTAATTTTTTTGTAATTTTTATTGGTATATAGTAAGTGTATATACTTCTGGGGTACATGAGATATATTGATACAGGCATACAATGTTTAATAATTACATCAGAGTAAATGGGGTAGCCATCACTTCAAGCATTCATCATTTCTTTGAGTTGTGAACATTCCAACTGTACTCCCTCAGTTATTCTAAAATGTACAGCAAATTATTGCTGACTGTAGTCACTCTGTATTGCTATCAAATGCTAGATATTAGTCATGTAACTAACTATATTTTTGTATTCTTTAACAATCCCCACTTTCCCTTCCCTCCCCACAATCCTTCCCACCCTCTGGTAACCATCATTCTGTTCTCTATCTCCATGAGTTCAATTGTTTTAATTTTTAGCTTCCACAAGTTAAAAATGTGAGAACATGAGAAGTTTGTCTTTCTAGGTCGGGCTTATTTCACATAATATAATGTCCACTAATTCCATCCATATTGTTGCAAATGACAGGATCACATTTTTTTTATGGCTGGATAGCACTCCACTGTGATTATATACCAAATTTTCTTTATCCATTCATCTGTTGATAGACACAGGTTGATTCTAGATCTTAGCTACTGGGTGTGAATAGTGCTGCAACAAACATAGGAGTTCAGATATATCTTCAATATACTGATTTCCTTTCTTTAGAGTAGACACCGAGAAGTGGGATTGCTAGTTTATATGGGAGTTTTATTTTTAGTTTTTTGAGAGACCTCCACACTATTCTGCATAGTGGCTGTACTAATTTACATTCCCACCAAGCGTGTGAGGGTTCCCCTCTTCACACCCTCACCAGCATTCATTATTGCCTATTGTTTGGATAAAATGCATGTAACTAGGGTGAGCTGATATCACATTGCAGTCTTGATTTGCATTTCTTTGATGATCAGTGATGTTGAGCACCTTTCATATACTTGTTTGCCATTTTTATGTCTTCTTTTATGAAATGTCTAATCAGACTTTTGCCTGTTTTTTAAATTGGATTATTAGACTTTTTCTAATTGAGTCTTTAGAGCTCCTTATATATTCTGGTTATTAATCCTTTGTCAGATGAATAGATTGCAAATATCTTCTGTCATGCTGTTAATTGTCTCTTCACTTTGTTGATTGTTTCCTTTGCTATTCAGAAGCTTTCTAACTTGATGTGATCCCATTTGTTCATTCTTACTTTGGTTGCCTGTACTTGTGGGGTATTACTTAAGAAATCATTGCCCAGACCAATGTCCTGGAGAGTTTCCCCAATGTTTTCTTTTAGTAGTTTCGTAGTTTGAGGTCTTATATTTAAGTCTTTACTCCATTTTGACTTGATTTTAGTATATGGCAAGAGATAGGGGTCTAGTTTCATTCTTACACATACGAATATCCAGTTTTCCCAACACCGTTTGTTGAAGATCGTCCTTTCTCCAATATATAGAACCAATGTACATTAGATATTCCTTTATATGAAGTGCTTATTCATTTATTTTATCTATATTTCAAGTAGCTTTTCTGTCATCTTATTATTATTGTTTTACAATGTAAATATTTAAATAGACACATCCATCCATATATACATAGGTACATAGACAGAGACATGTACAGATACATATATTGATAAACACATGCAAACATATTTTGAAAACTAGTCCTTTCTCAGATATCTTCATTTTTAATGTAATCTTCCATGTAGTCTGTCTTTTTATTTTTTAACCATGACTATTGAGGAATAAAGGTCTTCATGTAAATAGCATCAAATTTATCATTAGTTATTTAATACATTATTTAGGACATTTTAACTACTCTAATGTTGTGAAGGTGTTCTTCTGTGCATCAGGATCCATTTTTGGACACTTCAGTAAAGAAAAATTAAAAAATAGACAAATAAATAATCTATTTAAATTTTGTTTGGCATTTCCATTATTGTAAAATGTACATTTTTACATTTTAAAGTTCCCCAAGTTAGCTTATTACAATTCATGTCAATAGAAACATGACAGAGGTAAAGAATTGTGCTGTGTTATTAGTGACATTGCTTGCATATGTCACTAATTTGCAAATATCAATGTCAGATGCATCTATTTGGCTCTTCAAAATAGTTATTTGCAATATTATTATCATCTGGATTAGAATTTTGTATAAATACTTCATTTTTAAATAATCAGTTAAGGAAAATTTGAAAGAACATAACACAGAACTTTCATTTGCTTGAAGTATTTGAGGGTAAGTTGCCAATATGTTATTCAATCTCCCCTAAATATTATGCAGTGTATTTTCTACAAGCATACAATTTTTCTATATGGGAACAATATAATCAAAAAACGGAAATTAATATCAATGTTTTGGTAAAATCTAATCCTCAGACCCCACTCATAATCTGCTAATTGTCTTAGTAATGTTCATTATGGTAAAAAAGATCCAGTTTAGAATCATGAATCATTTAGTTGTCATGTCTTAATTTTAGTCTTTAATCTAGAAAAACTACTTATTCTTGCTTTGACTTTTATAACCTTGTCACTTACGAACAATGTGAAAGAGTTGTTTCATAGAATGTCCTCAATTTGGGTTAGTCCACAATTTAATATGATTGTGCAGAATGCCACTGAAGTGCTATCCTCCTCAGTTTGCACAATATATAAATTTTCCAATTATTGGTGATGCTTATTTCGATTCTTTGATGAAGGTGGCATCTAATAGACTTCTCAATTGTGAAATTACTCTTTCTTTTTATAAGAAAGTATTTTATGAGATGGTATTTTAAAACCATGCAAATAACCCATTGTTATTAAAGACTAAGTTTACTAATTTATTTATATCAGTATATACTCAACATTTTTCTTGAAGTTGATGGGCAAAATTGGTAAATATCATTATCTGTTTTAATGCTCAAATTTCTCCTGATTTGCTTGGTCTATATTACTTAAGGTTGACATCTGTATCTTTTGATATATCATTATTATTTTTAAGTAATTTTTTGATTTTTGGTTAAAATACAATTCATGATTATCATGTATTTTTTCTGCTCCAGGCCTAAAATCAGGCACTTCCCTAAGGATTTCTGGATCTTTTCACTGGAAAAATTATACGTAGACATCATAATCAGGCTGCTAGCTGTGCTCATAGAAAGCATTTCTTGGCCGGGTGCGGTGGCTCACGCCTGTAATCTCAGCACTTTGGGAGGTCGAAACAGGCAGATCACGAAGTCAGGAGATCAAGACCATCCTGGCTAACAAGGTGAAACCCTGTCTCTACTAAAAAAAAAAAAAAAATTAGCAGGGCTTGGTGGCGGGCGCCTGTGGTCCCAGCTACGCGGGAGGCTGAGGCAGGAGAATGGCGTGAACCTGGAAGGTGGAGCTTGCAGTGAGCCAAGATCGCGCCACTGCACTCCAGCCTGGGCAACAGAGCAAGACTCCATCTCAAGAAAAAAAAAAAAAAAAAAGCATTTATTATAGATTTTCTGGATATTTGAATCTATCTATCTATCTATCAACACACACACATACACAAACACAAGCATATAATATATATACATTATACAAGTACATAAATACATAGATATACATAACGTATTTATACATTATATGTGTATATACACACATTATATATACAGATATATTATGTGTATGTGTATGTATGTGTGTATATACTCTATATAAATACATACATAAAAATATATATTTATTTCTTTGCACATAAGAGTCTTAGGACATGAGATCATAAAAATTTTCTTTCAACAGGTTATGGAGCGAGAGGTTTAACTAACCTATTCTTAAATCACCATACAAAGTCTTGTGATTCTTCACACAACTTTCTTCTGTTGCCATGTTTTTTGTAAACGTGTATATGCTTTTTTTTAATTTTTAGATACAAATCAATCATGAGGGATGTCCTTACCTTCACTGATGTTGTTATATTATTCTGCAACAAATTTTTCAAAAGCAGACTCACATGTTGTTACACTAGTGCCAGTTAAATATATCAGCTTATTTTCTCCTTATCTTTCCCTATGTGTTGTAGTTTGAAAACATTTTTCTATAACACATGTAGTTTCTGCCAGGAAAACACAGACATAACATTTCTTATGAACTTGTGTTTTACAGCCAATCATTGCCACAATCATCATCAATTATGGATGCAGTTTTTCTTATAATAAAATTTTGGTTTGTTGGATTTTTCAAATAGCTTTTATTTTTTAGTATTAGAATAATGCATAAATAAATCTTAAATTTAAATTAATTTATAAATTTAAGGAAATAAATAATTCATAATAAATTTGTAGGTTTTTGTTTTTTGTTTGTGTGATGTCATAGAGATTGTAAATTTAGATTCAGGAGGTCCTACAAAATTTAGATCTAAACATTGCGATAAATTCAATCTAGAAAATACCTTTTTTAAAAAAACTTTATTTCTAGAGTGTTTTAAATTTTCTGTGGGAGAAACAAATAAAACATAAAGTATAGAAATTGCAGGGACAGATGAACAACTCTATAATAAATATCTCCTGCCACAGAAAAAGAAAATATTCAAAGTTCTGGCAATGAAAAACTTATTTTGTGGTATTTTTTGAAAAAAGAGATCAAAATATCTTGTAATAGCTTATAAATGCAATGTTATAATTATACTAGTGATGACCCATTCTATACTACTGGACATCTCAGATATTATGCGGTTTTAAATACATTCAGAGGAAGCCGTTGGAGATATTTGAGTAATTTTGAACCAATCTTCAGAAAATTCTAAGAAAATTTCAGATAGTTAGAAAAAATTCTATTAGAATTTGTTATTGTACCTTGCTATGTAGATGGGGCTTCATTAAAATAATATTTGAGCCCCTTAATACTTTAAAAAATGTATATTATTTTACAATGATATCACAAATCAATCATTATATTTACATTTTAGTTTAATCTGAGATTGTTTAATACATTTGTATTTCAAATAATTAATGGAACTGATAACAAAAACTTTCTGTTCTAATATTATGAGAGTCCAGAGTAAAGATTTACATATAAAATCATTATTCTATCTGACATAATTTAAAGAAGGAAGCATGACAATTTCTGTCTACAGAATGCTTATTTTACTATTGAGTGAGAAACTAAAAGCACTTACTAGCAGGAAGAGAGACAAAAACAAATGATACCATTCGTACATCCTCTGAAGCATTTTTCTTATCTTATTAATGCATTAACAACTTTTAGAAATACCGATGATCTTTATTTTTAACTTTAGTTTAGCTGAAGATTGCTTGTTTAAATTACTTTATTAAGGGAGCATGTAGGAAAGAAAGAGTGACATTGGGAGTCAGCTTATTATGACAGACAACTATGGATGAAGATTTTGTAGCTAAGAATCACTTTATATAATGTGATATTGCAAATACACTTGTATAGTTTCAATTATGATTCCTATTAGAAAATAAAAAAGAAATAACCTAAAAATTCAGGAGATAGAATTACCTAAATTTTCAGAAGATATTTAGCTATTATTACTTTAAAATTTTTCAAATGAAACTACCATAAACAGTAGGACTTTGTAGTCTTATTTGAAAACAAAACCAAACCACACAACATAAAATTTACCATATTAGGAAAAGGGTGGAGAGAGGTGGCAGAATAAACCAGTTTAGCATCATTCCCCCAAAGAAAGATCAATTTGAACAACTATACGTGCATAAAAATATCTTCACAAGAGCTAAAGAAATTAGATGCGGGATCATGATACCGGGTAGTAATACTAATAAATTAATGGAAAGAAGCAAAAAGAACAACTTTACATTATTCATGTCACTCCTATCCTAACTTCAGGCAGCAGAGCATGGAGAAAAATACTGTCCTCTTGGAGTGAAAAAAGGGAAGTAAGTGCAGGACATTGCCCTGGATCCTGATACTGAGCCCACCACAGTAAAACACAGCACTAAGCAGATCCCCACAGTTCATGGCTCAAGGATAGTACCCATAAACTGAGCCCCTAGACTCACCCCAGGGCCAGATGGGAACTCGTAGATCCTCGCAATAGACTCAGCTTCCAGGCTACATCACCACCAAACAACTACAGTGGCCTTGGGTTCTGGAAAAATCTCAGAGACAATCGGTCCTTAGTAACCATAGAGATTGGTGTACCCCAGCACCATGTCAGCTTCGGCAGCCACAGGATGCCTGTCAGGTGCCCTGCCTGCCTTGAAGGCCACAGGACTCCAGTCTTGGCTGCACTGAAAGCAGTGGTCCTGGACTTAGGTTGCTCTCAACATTGCAAAGGCTGAAGTTGTCGCAGGCTTAGGGATCATACCAGCTGGTTCCCAGGCAAAGCCTGTCTGCAAAGACTGGAATAAACCTCTACTCAGATGTGCAGACATTCACATATAGCTACAAGAATTAAGAATAATCAGGGAAAGAAGATTTCACCAAACAGACAAAACAAGTGGCCAGTGACTGACCCTGAAGAGATCTAGAAGATGAACTACCTAGCAAAAAATTTAAAATACCTGTTTTCAAGAAAGCTCAGCTAACTTCCAGAAAATATAAAGAAATTATTCAGAAATTTATCAGAGAAATGCAACAGAGACTAAATTAATAATAAAAGCCCTATATCCTGCAGAGAAAAAATACAGAGAACAAAATGAAAAATTAATACAAAATGGCAACAGCAGAATTGATCAAGTAGAAGAAAGAATCTGTGAATTCAAACAGGTTATTTGATAATGTACAGTTAGAGAAAAAATAAAAAATAAATAAAAGAGAATAAAGAAAGCTTACAGGATTTATGGGTTGCATCAAAAGAACAAATACACAAGTTATTGGCATTCAAGAGAGAATAGAGGAAAATTGAATAGAAAAAATATTTTAAGAAAATGCAGTATAAAACTTTCCAAACCTGGAGAAAGATATAAATAACCAGATAGAGGAAAATCAAAGCTCACTAATCAGATTCGCTCCAAACAAAAAGACCCCACTATATGTTATAATCAAGCTCTCAAAAATTCAAGCCAAAGAGAGAAGTTTTAAATTCACAAGAAAACAAGAAGAACATGATATATAAAAGAACTCCAATAGGCCTAGCAGCAGACTGTTCAGCAGAAACCTTACAGACCAGGAAAGAGTAGAATGATATATTCAATATACTGAAGAAAAAAACCTACCCAGCAAAAATACTGTACTATGCAAAGTCATCCTTCAGAAATGAGGGAGAGATAAAGAGTTTCTCAGACAAATAAAAGCTGAGAGAGATTATCACCTCCAGATATGTCTTACAAAAAATGCTAAAAAGAATTCTTCAACTAGAAAGAAATAGACACTTATGAGTAACAATAAAACTTACTGGTAAGTAAGTAAGTAAGTAGAGAATTAAGTTCAGAATAGTCTAATACTGTAAAGATAGTATGTAATTCACTTATATCTTTAGTATGAAGCTTAAATCACAAAACTATTAAATAATAATAACTATAATAATTTTAGGTTATATAAAATATGTACAATATAAAATATGTAAATTGTGATATCAAAAATCCAAAATGTGGGCAGGGGAAGTGGAATTAAAGTAGTGCGTGTGTTCAAAGTAATGTGTTATCAGCTTAAAATAATGTGCTATAACTCTAAGGTGTTTTTTGTAAGCCTCTTGGTAACCGCAAAGAAAAACCTAGAATAGATACACTAAAAACAAGAAGTGAGGAAACAAAACATAATATTTGAGAAAATTACTTAACTACAAAATCACACAGTAGAAGAGAAAGAAGAAAGTATATGCAAAACAAACAAACAAAAATAATAAAATGGCAATAGTAAGTTCTTATGTACCCATGTAAATGGAGCAATTCTTCAATTAAAAGACACAGAGCAGCTGACAAATAACAAAACAATACCCAACTATATACTGCCTAAAAGAGATTAACTTCCCTGTAAGGACACACATAGGTTGAAAGTAAAGAGATGAAAAAAAAAATCCATGCAAATGAAAGTTAAAAACAACAAAAAAGGAGAAGCTATACTTATATCAGATTAAATAGAATTTAAGTCAAAAACTGTAGAAAGAGACAACCAAAAAAGTCATCACATAATGGCAGCATGGTCAGTTCAGCCAGAGGACATAACAGTTGTAAATATCTATGCACCCAATATCAAAGTACTTAAATATACAAGCAAATATTAATGTTACTAAAATTTGAGATAGACTGTAATACAGTAATAGTAGAGGACTTAAGCACCTCACTTTTAGAAAGGACATCACTCAGGCAAAAATATTTTTAAAAATCATGAGATTTAAATATTATTATGAACAATTATATGCCCAACAAATTAGATAAACTAGAGAAAATGGATAAATCCTTGAGCACATATAATCTACCAGGATTAAATTATAAAGAAATATAAAATATTAACAGACCAATAAAGAGTAATGAGATTGAATCAGTAATAAAAAGTCTGCTGTCAAAAAAAAAAAAAGCCCAGGACCTGATGATGGCTTTTGTCGTGGTTGTTGATTTGTTTTTGTTTTTGAGACAGGGTCTCACTTGGTTACCCAAGCTGAAATGCATCAGCATGGTCATGGCTCACTGCAGCTTTGACCTCCCAGCTCCCAGGCAGGCTCAAGTGAACCTCCTGCCTCAGCCTCCTAAGTTGAGACAAAAACCAGAGCATTGGACAGTCCCCTGAAAATACAGAACTTTGTACATATGTTTCACTCTTCTCCTTAAAAGGAGAAACCACTCTTCTCTTTTTTTTTTCTTTTTTCACTTTGGAGGAGCTGTGAGCTGAGCCGTTCCTCTCAACCTGCTGACCTGTGCCAGCTTGGGAAAAGGCATATACTGTCTACTGCCTATAATATAGATGATACTATCATTTATGTGAAATATATTTTCTTACCTGTTTCAATGTGGCTGTTACTGACTTTGGGCTTGCATGGAATACAGTCTTATTTAATTTATGGTTTTTCATAAAGGGTTTTTGGACTCTATACTGTATTGATTTTAAGGTAGTATCTCTGTGGAGGGAACAAAATCTGAGGCTTCCTACTCTGCCATTTTGCTAATATTATGCCCAAGAAAAGACATTTAAAAAGTATTAAGACATTTAATTTGCCAGAAAGGATATATAAAAATGTTGCATTTTGATTACTTTAAAATTGAAACTATATTGATTCTTCCTATCAATGAACATGAAATGTTTTTTTTTTCATTTGTTTGTCTCATCTCTGATTTCTTTGATCAGTGGTTTGTAGGTTAACTACTTGTTTAAATTAGATATTTACAAGTAATTGTGAATAATTAAAATATACTTTATGATTGCCATTTTTTCTAACTTGGAATTTAGCTAATAAGTCTTTTTTTATCAAGAAGATTAAGATTGTATTAAAACTCTTCTATATTCTTAACTTTGGTCATTCATTCAGATTTGATGGTACTAAATGAAATATGTTTATAATATCTATTATAAATAATATGAAATGTGCTTAAAGTCCAAACAATGCCTCTTGCATAGTTTCTATATTAATCTTTTCACATTATTTTTTATGTATTGGTATTAGGCACATATTCATTACTTTATTTCTACACACCATTGTGTATATCACTTCTTGTTTTATTTTTTCAAAGAGTTGACATATCTTTCATATTTATATTTATATTTATGTTGCTTGTATTAGAATTCACGTTGCAATACTTTGCTCAGATATCTTTATATTTCTGTTAATTTATGGTCCCTTACTTACCTGAAAAACAGTACTGTCTACATCCAGAAAAAAAAATCATTATTTCCAGTAGAAAAACAATTTATCTCAGGTTCCATCAGAGAGAGATGTCTTTACAGTGCCTACTTTCAGATATTTTTTTCTTACAGAAAAAAAGGTCAATACATTTCAACTCATAGTTGAAGTATGGGAAAAATAAATAAATTGAGAAGATTGCTAATATTTGGTAGTATGATGAAAATAAAGATACACCAGAAATACTCAAGGCTATTATGGAAAAATTATCCTCTAATTGCCTGTGCTATACCTGACCTCAGCCACTCTTTTATGGTTACACACAGTGTAGTCATTATCAACAAATGCACACCCCAAATATCATCCTACTCTTGGGTTACCTCTCCTCTTCACAGATCCTTTTGTAGTACTTTTCCAGATTACTTTTACTCAATCAAGACCTTTGATTTATTGACTCAACCATTACTTCAGTATCCATCCCCTCCACTTATCCTTCTGTTTCTCAGTAATCAACTTAAATATGACCCATTCTTTTGATCATGTAATGAAACTTAATCATTATTAAATCTAAGTCTCTGTCTCTTCCACACCGTCCTGTTTTTACGTGGCATGTCATGGACAATGAACACAGTCTTTGTGACTAACTACACATTGAATTGATGATCACAATATGAGAACTGCTTACCAATCCTATTATATTTCCTTACTAAATGTATTCTGTGAACTCCATGGATGACTGCTGTGCGAGTTCAGCTTCTGCATGAAACAGAAAACGAAGACATAATTTGACGTATAAGAGATTTTTGGAGAAAACACTTATGAGGAAAAGTGGGCAGGAACTTGGGGGAGATTAGAGAGTCATCAGGCTCAAAGCAGGTCTAACCCCTATGAAAGAGAAATGGAAGGAAGAAGACTGGGTGAAGAAACGTCATGTGCAATGCAGCTGTTGAGAAATTCTTAAGCCAAAATCACTCATCAGATAAATCCCCCATCTTTCCGGAATAGGCCTGTGTTAGTTGAAAACAGCCTAAGTATGTGTCAGGCATATAAACAAGATGCTAAATTTTAGAGTGAATCATGCAGGACCAGTTATGCAATGTACACTCAGAGACCTTATGGGTACAATTTCATGGCCACCACAACTATTCCACGCCTTCCCTCTCTTCTTTCAACCAGAAACTCTTACTTCCTCTTCAAACACAGCTAACCGCTAAAACCCTTTATATTGAGATAAGAGCATTCAGAAGACAACGAACTCATCCTCCTCTCACATAATCTACCAGTCTATCTGCAATATATATATGTATAATGTGCTCCTTATATATATGTATAATGTGCATCTTCCCAGAACTATGAATAGGTTGTCTCTACTTGCATTTAAGATCAGCCAGTCCACTTGTGTTTTGCATCCAATCCCTTCTGGCCTGCTCTCTCCTTCACTGCTTTCTCTCTACCAGTTCATATCTATGTTAATATAAACATACTGAGACTGCAACAAAACTTTTACAAAATAAAATAAGTAACGAATGATTCTTGAACATTTTTTTCCTCAAGTGGCCTGCCATCTCTTGGCTGTCTTTTATAAGTAGTTTTCCCTCAAAGATATCTAAAGCTGTCTCTTTCCCTCCCTTATTTTTTTGAACCAGCTCTTATCAGCTTTTCTATACCACTTACTGAATTTTTTAAATGTTCTCCAGTGATTTCTATTGTGCCATACTCAGTAAGCACAATTTAGCCTTCATTTCACTTGATCGTCCTCCTTGAAATACCTTCTTTTGGCTACACTGATTTCATTCTCAGTCTTTCTTTTGCTTCGTCAGCTTCCTTTACTTTTTTTCCCTTCCACATTCAGATCTTCAATTCCTCAGTGTCCTATGGCTCAATCCCCACCCTTCTCTTGCATCTGTTCTCATTTCCTACATGATTACATTCATTCTCACTACTTTATACAATACAGATATACTTATGCTAATTACTAATTTATACTTCCTTTCAACTTTAACTATGAGCTCATATTTAAATTTTCCAAATATAAATAAAATATGTAATCTAATTATAACAGAAAAGATTTAATATGAAATAATATTTATACTATGTAGTATATAATATATACTATTATAATAGCACAAAATCATGAAACACAATAAATATCTGAAATCAAAACAGCATTATTGTATTCCAATGAATGCCTATCCTCAACTACCAGGAGATTATTGAAACTTATCTTCTTGAATTCTGTACATTTTAATGTAATCACTATTCTCCTGAAAGAAAGAAAGGATACACTGATATTACAATGTATGAACTCCACCTATATAATCTTCTCTCTACAGCCTCTTTATTGCAGGTAACTATTCATGATAAATTGAAGATTTTAGCACCCAGAGGTAAAGTCATGATATTCATTCCAAGGCTTGTCGTCATCCTCAGAGATGCTAACTTTCATACAAATTAGCCAGTAAACATGCAGTCCTTTTAGAGCGGTAACTTCCTTATATCCACCTTATCTGACTATGATTGCATCTTTGATTTTATCATTACCCAGAATTTCTTTTCTATTGTTTCTATTACTAGATCTACTTTTACAAATGCAAATGAAGTTCATTTCAATTTAATTAAATAATAAGTATCTTTTACAAGAAAGGTATACTACCTTTAAAGATTCCATATCTTTATAGAGTGAGCATTCTGTTATGATATCTAACTCTACAGCAAATATAGTTACATAATTTTTTACTAAGTATACAACAGCATAAGAAAAGTAATTATATAACACATGTGCTTGAAATATCCTCTTATATCAGCATATGTTTTGAATGAACAATGTTGTTTTCAGGAATAATATTTTGGTATAATGATTTGTTTCCAAAAAGCATGAGGTAATACTGTTATTTGAGAATAGCGCTCAATGCTATTTAAAGCAAAAATACAAATGCTTCCATGGTAACAGCACACTTTCAATTTTCGACATAAGTAAAAATTATGAAGAGAAGTGAGAAAAAATATTGATTTTTAAAATTAGCAATATTGTGTTCCCTTCTTAAATGATGAAACACCTACTAAAATTAGAAGACAATTGAGCTTTGGGAGCAGTTATATTCATTTACTTGGTTATCATTCCATAAGCATATGATATACAAATGACTAATTTTTGATGAAGTAAATAAAATTTAGTCTTAAATATGCAGAAACATTTTTTAAATTCATCAAAATATAGGGTTAGGTTTTATGCAATACAGAAAATGTTAACTATTTTTGACCAAATACAGACTTCTGAAAATAATGGTGCAGAAGATATACAGCTTTCAGTTACTGCTTACTTAAGTGTTCTCACCTGAAAACACCCCTCTCCACTTTAGTACCCCCATTGTAATGGCTTACCACACAAGCCATTTCTAGACTCAGTGCCTTTGCACTGTTGACTGCTAGAAATTTCTTCTCTGGAATCTTCTTATGAATTGCTCTTTTTTTGTATTCTTGAAACTTTTTTTTTTTTTTTTTTTTTTTTTTTTTTTTTTTTGAGACGGAGTCTCGCTCTGTCGCCCAGGCTGGAGTGCAGTGGCGGGATCTCGGCTCACTGCAAGCTCCGCCTCCCGGGTTCACGCCATTCTCCTGCCTCAGCCTCCCAAGTAGCTGGGACTACAGGCGCCCGCCACTACGCCCGGCTAATTTTTTTGTATTTTTAGTAGAGACGGGGTTTCACCGTTTTAGCCGGGATGGTCTCGATCTCCTGACCTTGTGATCCGCCCGCCTCGGCCTCCCAAAGTGCTGGGATTACAGAACTTAATTTCAAATATGACTTTCCTTCGTAGAGTTTCACTGACCATCTAACGTAAATTGCCTGTTATCTATCCAGCCATTATAGAAGTTTAACTGTAATTTTGGCTGGGCGCGGTGGCTCACGCCTGTAATCCCAGCACTTTGGGAGGCCGAGGCGGGCAGATCATGAGGTCAGGAGATCGAGACCATCCTGCATGGTGAAACCCATCTCTACTAAAAACACGAAAAATTAGCCGGGCGTGGTGGCGGGCACCTGTGGTCCCAGCTACTCGGGAGGCTGAGGCAGGAGAATGGCGTGGACCCGGGAGGCAGAGCTGGCAGTGAGGCGAGACTGCACCACTGCACTCTATCCTAGGCGACAGAGCGAGACTCCATCTCAAAAGAAAGTTTAACTGTAATTTTAATGTTTGTGTGTATGTGTATCTTTATGTAAATATAGTTAGCTCCCTTTGCCACAATGTGTTTCCATTTTATTTTAATTATTGCCAGTCTCAGAAGAAGGATATACATTGTTAGTTGTGTAAAAAAATAAAAACTATTCTCAATTCTTTTTTCTCCTAAACCATAGACAGTATGGTAAGAAATGGTGGTAATAGTAACCTGCACTTTTGTTTACTGTTTCTCAGTCGCTTATAAAGATTTTGTGGACTCAGCAACTGCAAAGTGAAATATACTTCAGCAGTAGGGACTGGAAGTGTTACTATTTGGCAATATGTGGTGCTAATATTTTGTGAATTAGAATATTTGTAGTTTTAACAAGAGTCTACTCCCAACACCTTGGTTTACAAATATCTTTTCAAATGTCTGAGTGGTCAGTTTATTTAACACAGATGCATAGAGCAACCCAAGTCACTAAGAGATTGTAAAATGTAAGACTAATTCTCTACTCCAAAGTTGAAATTTAGATCACATTTTATATGTTCCAGATGAGTGATTGTTTATTTAATATTTGGGTATTTAAGACTTACAGTTAATGCTTAACTACCTAAGCAAAGTTGCAGTGCTCCCTCCTGGCCTCATGAATCTACTGGGGGAAAAAAAGTGGAAAGGAGCCCAGGGTTACAAAAGGGGATATATAATAATTGGTCTTCTCCGCTCCTAGTAAAAACTATTAAAATCTGATGGCATGGAAAAGAAGTCATTCATACCCAAAGTCATCTATTGTCAAGTACAGGTAAGGACATATATTCTGTTACCTGATCCTGGGAAATGAAATGTGAGTACAGATTGAGTATTGATTAGCCTTAGGAATTTCCTGGGGTAGCCATCAGGCCCTCGCATCTGCAGAAGTCAGCACTGTAATTTCACCATTTATGTGAGTGACCAGGCTCCTGAAGACTAAGCAACATTATCTCGATAAAGGTGTCTTGGTGTTCAGGGGATGGGTATCCAATCCCTACAGCATATCAGTGATGATCAGGGAGATTAGCTGAAGATAAGTAAAAAACAACTGACCAGTCTAGAAAAGCCATCAGTAAAAACAGATCACAGGAGACTTTTGTGGCAGGTCATGACATAGTAAATAATACGAAAAAGACCTTCCTTCAGTATACAAGTATGAAAATGAGTCTGGAATCAATCAGAAAACTGTTTTGAGCATTGTACAACATTTAGGGAGAAAGGAAAATCTTTAGAGCTTCATGCTCAACAAGGTTTTCTGTCTGTCAGGGAGCTGGCAGGAGCCTGTTAGCAGAACATGGTCTTGATGAGCTAAGAAGAGGCAGAGGTCAGAATTCTGTTATTGAAGCAACTGGAAGTTGCAGGTCAGTGCATTAGGGAAGACAGAATGCAGGCAGAGCTACATATGCATGAGATGAAACAATGTGAAACTCACTACAGATTGACTTAGTAGACAAACCTCAGTAAAATTCCATGCTAACACCTCAGACATCCTGCTGAAACACCTAGAATAAGTCAAATTCTAGCGCCATCTTAACAAAGCTTACAACCATACCCTGACCAGATCCACAAGTGAGAAAGAGTATGAAGCTTAAGTCCCACTAAGTTAGAGGAACTTGGAAAGCAGCTCAAGTTTTTCATAGATCTGCCCACAAATAGCACTAAGCAAGCTTACAGAAGTTCACATTTTCCAACCCACAAGTTAACTGCCTGTGAGGGAGGAAATCACTGCTTTAAGAGACCAGAATTGAAATCTCAGCAATGTATAATTCACATATCCAGAGTCAAAAATGGAAAATTATTAAACATGAAAAGAAACATGAAAAATGTGACTCATTAAATTAAAAAAGCGGTCAATATAAGTAAACCAGATATGGAACCTGTGTTGGATTTATCAGGCAAAGACCTCAAAAAAGTTATTTTAAATTTCTAAAGAAATCTCAATGAGTGAAGGGCAAGGGAGCAAGGGAATCTCAGCAAGAAGTGGAAACAACAAAATATATACCAAAGTTGATCTAAAGTGTTCAATAATTGAAATGGAAAAGTACTGGATGGGTTTAAGAGCAGACTGGAGATGGTGGAAGAAATTGTTAATGAATGTAAAGATTGATCAATGAAAATTATTCAAAACAAAGAACAGTGAAGATAATATTGAAGAAAAATGATTAGAGATGTAGTGACCTGTGGGACATATCAAAGCATCTGGCAATTGCACTCTCTAAAAAAAAATCAAAGGAGTTTGGGGCAGAAAAATATTTGTTTTTAAATGGCAAGTGCTTCCCAACTTTTTAGGAGAAGAACACCCGCTTATAGATTCAAAAACTCAGCAACCCACAGGAATAATAATATTGTTAAAAACTGAATGTATGTTAAATTTTTGAAGTAAACTATTTTTCTATTAAAATAAAGGACAAAAATAATATAACAATTTGAATAGATGCAAAAAAAATTGCTGGACAGTTAATGCACATTTATGAATAAAGAAAACAAACAATAAAGAAATAAATTACCATTAGCATACTGGAACTACAAAGAATTTTCTCTATATGGTATTGGCCTTCTAAATGTTCACCTAACTTCATATTTCAGAATGAAATATTGAATACTTTTCTTTTTTCTTTCTTTTTTTTGTATTGATCTTTTTTTTTATTATCATACTTTAAGTTCTGGGATACATGTACAGAACATGCAGGTTTGTTACATAGGTATGTACATGCCATGGTGGTTTCCTGTACCCATCAATCCATCATCTACATTAGGTATTTCTCCTAATGCTATCTCTCCCCTAGCCCCCCACCCCCCCAACAAGCCCTGGTGTGTGATGTTCCCTTCCCTATGGCCACATGTTCTCATTGTTAAACTCCCGCTTATGAGTGACAACATGTGGTGTTTGGTTTTCTGTTCCTGTTAGTTAGCGGAGAATGATGGTTTCCAGCTTCATCCATGTCCCTGCAAAGGACATGAACTCATTCTTTTTAATGGCTGCAAAGTATTCTATGGTGTATATGTGCCACATTAACTTTTGTTTTTGTATTTTTTGAGACAGAATTGTCTCTAGTTTCCCAGGCTGGAGTAAATGGTGTAATCTAGGCTCACCACAACCTCTGCTTCCCGGGTTCAAGCAATTCTCCTGCCTCAGCCTCCCAAGTAGCTAGGATTAGAGGCATGTGCCACCACACTTGGCTAATTTTGTATTTTTAGTAGAGACAGGATTTCTCCATGTTAGTCAGGCTGGTCTCAAACCCCTGATCTCAGGTGATCCACCTGCCTGGGTCCCCCAAAGTGCTGGGATTACAGGCGTGAACCACCGCACCCAGCCGTGCCAAATTTTCTTTTTCCAGTCTATCACTGATGGGTATTTGGGTTAGTTCCAAGTCTTTGCTATTGTGAATAGTGGTGCAATAAACATATGTGTGCCTGTGTCTTCATAGTAGAATGTTTTATAATCCATTGGGTATATACCCAGTAATGGGATTGTTGGATCAAATGATATTTCTATTTGTAGATCATTGAGGAATTGCCACACTGTCTTCCACAATGGTTGAACTAATTTACTCTCCCACCAACAGTGTAAAAGCGTTCCTATTTCTCTACATCCTCTCCAGCATCTGTTGTTTCTTGACTTTTTAATGATTGCCATTCTGACTGGCATGAGGTGGTATCTCATTGTGGGATTTTCATTTCTCTAATGACCAGTGATGATGAGCTTTTTTTCATGTTTGTTGGCTGCAAAAATGTCTTCTTTTGAAAAGTGTCTGTTCATATCCTTTGCCAATTTTTTGATGGGGTTGTTTATTTTTTTCATGTAAATTTGTTTAAGTTCCTTATAGATACTGGATATAGCCCTTTGTCAGAGGGATAAATTGCAAAAATTTTCTCCCATGCTGTAGGTTGCCTGTTCACTCTGATGATACTTTCTTTTGCTGTGCAGAAACTCTTTAGTTTAATTAGATCCCATTTGTCAATTTTGGCTTTTGTTGCAATTGCTTTTGGTGTTTTAGTCATGAAGTCTTTGCCCTTGCCTATGTCCTGAATGGTATTGCCTAGGTTTTCTTCTAGGGCTTTCATGGTTTTAGGTCGTATGTTTAAATCTTTAATCCATCTTGAGTTATTTTTTGTATAAAGTGTAAGAAAGGGGTCCAGTTTCAGTTTACTGCATATGGCTAGCCAGTTTTCCCAACACCATTTATTAAACAGGGAATCCTTTCCCCATTACTTGTTTTTGTCTGGTTTGTCAAAGATCAGATGGTTGTAGATGTGTGGTGTTATTTCTGAGGCCTCTGTTCTGTTCCATTGGTATATATATATTTTATATATATATATCGGTTTTGGTACCAGTACCATGCTGTTTTGGTTACTGTAGCCTTGTAGTATAGTTTGAAGTCAGGTAGTGTGATGCCTCCACCTTTGTTCTTTTTGCTTAAGATTGTCTTGGCTATACAGGCTGTTTTTTTTTTTTTTTTTTTGGTTCCATGTAAAATTTAAAGTAGTGTTTTCTAATTATGTGAAGAAAGCCAATGGTAGATTAATGGGAATAGCATTGAATCTATAAATTACTTTGGGCAGTATGACCATTTCCATGATGTTGAGTCTTCCTTTCTGTGAGCATAGAATGCTTTTCCATTTGTTTGTGTACTCTATTACTTCCTTGAGCAGTGGTTTGTAGTTCTCCTTGAAGAGGTCCTCCACATCCCTTGTAAGTTGTATTCCTAGGTATTTTATTCTCTTCGTAGCAATTGTGAATGGGAGTTCACTCATGATTTGGCTCTCTGTTTGTCTATTACTGGTGTATAGGAATGCTTGTAATTTTTGCGCATTGATTTTTGTATCCTGAGACTTTGCTGGTTGCTTAACAGCCTAAGGGGTTTTGGGGCTGAGACGATGGGATTTTCTAAATATACAATCATGTCATCTGCAAACATAGATAATTTGACTTCTTCTCTTCCTATTTGAATACGCTTTATTTCTTTCTCTTGCCTGATTGCCCCGGCCAGAACTTCCAATATTTGTCATTGGTTCTGTTTATGTGATTTATTACGTTTATTAATTTGCATCAAGACCCATCAGTGTACTATACGCAGGAGACCCATCTCACATGCAAAGACGCTCATAGGCTCAAAATTAAGGGATGGAGGAAGATTCACCAAGCAAATGGAAAACAACAACAACAAAAAGCAGGGGTTGCAATCCTAGTCTCTGATAAAACAGACTTTAAACCAACAAAGATCAAAAAGGACAAAGAAGGGCATTACATAATGTTAAAGGGATCAATGCAACAAGAAGAACTAATTATTCTAAATATATATGCACCCAATACAGGAGCACCCAGATTCATAAAGCAAGTTCTTAGAGACCTACAAAGAGACTAGACTCCCACACAATAATGGTGGGAGACGTTTACATCCCACTGTCAATATTAGGCAGATCAACAAGACAGAAAATTAACAAAGATATTCAGGACTTGAACTCAGCTCTGGACCAAGCGGACCTAATAGATATCTACAGAACTCTGCACCCCAAATCAACAGAATATGCATTCTTCTCAGCACCACATTGCACTTACTCTAAAATTGACCGCATAATTGGAAATAAAACACTCCTCAGCAAATGCAAAAGAACAGAAACCATAGCAAATAGTTTCTCAGACACAGCGCAATCAAATTACAATGCAGGATTAAGAAACTCACTCAAAAATCTCACAACTACATGGAAACTGAACAACCTGCTCCTGAATGAACACTGGGTAAATAACTAAATTAAGGCAGAAATAAATAAGTTCTTTGAAACCAATGAGAACAAAGACACAACGAACCTGAATCTCTGGGACACAGCTAAAGCAGTGTTTAGAGAGAAATTTATGGCACTAAATGCCCACAGTAGAAAGCGGGTAAGATCTAAAATCAACACCCTATCATCACAACTAAAAGAACTAGAGAAGCAAGAGCAAACAAATTCAAAATCTAGCAGAAGGCAAGAAATAACTAAGATCAGAACAGAACTGAAAGGGATAGAAACATGAAAAACCCTTCAAAAAATCAATGAATCCAGGAGCTGGTTTTTTGATAAGATTAACGAAATAGATAGACTGCTAACCAGACTTTAAAGACGAAAAGAGAGAAGAATCAAATAGACACAATAAAAAGCGATAAAGATGAAATCAACATTGATCCCACAGAAATACAAACTACCATCAGAGAATACTATAAACACCTCTATGCAAATAAACTGGAAAATCTAGAAGAAATGGATAAATTCCTGAACACATAAACCCTCCGAAGACTAAACAAGGAAGTTGAATCCCTGAATAGAATAACAAATTCTGAAATTGAGGCAGTAATTGATAGCCTACCAATCAAAAAAATCCCAGTATCAGACGGATTCACAGCCGAATTCTATCAGAGGTACAAAGAGGTGCTGGTACCATTCCTTCTGAAACTATTCCAAACAATTGAGAAAGAGGGACTCCTCCCTAACTCATTTTATGAGACAAGCATTATCCTGATACCAAAACCTGGCAGAGAAACAATAAAAAAAGAGAATTTCAGGCCTATATCCCTGATAAACATCAATGTGAAATCCTCAGTAAAATACTGGCAAACCAAATCCAGCAGGACATTAAAAAGCTTATCCTCCATGATCAGGTCAGCTTCATCCTTGGGATGAATACTTTTCTACTAAGATTAGATAGGTCTTGGGGATACAGTACATGTTATAACTCTATATGATCTACCAATCATATCTACGTTTTGCAGCTCTAGCAAGCATTATAATTTATGATGTATATTTTATGAAAAATGTCACACATATATTTATTCTTGGAACTATTTTGCTTTTTACATAAAACTGTGAAGCATTTTTGATAAATAATCCCTTAACCTGACTTGTTAATTTTTCTCACTGTTTTCTTAATAAGCCTAGTGGAGACTTACATATAAACCTATTAGATATCATTTTTGGTATAATGAGTATATTCCTTCTAGTTTCAGTATAGTTTATGCATTCATTTATTTTCAAAAAAAAATGTATCTTTGTTATTAGTAATGTCCTGAGATAAATAACTTCTCTACAGACATCTCTATGTAGATTAATAAAACCAGGCTGAAAATAATGGTGGTGGTGCTTATTAGAATTAGATATTGATACACATGGTAAGCAAAGAAAAGTAACCAGCAATTTTCACAGATCTCTATTTTAACCAACCTAAGTTGTGAGTGAATTTATTTGCTATAGTTTTCCATCTAATATAGCTCCACTGAGTCTCACAATAACACCGAGGTAAAATATGACTGTAATTACGGTAAACATGGTAGGTACGTTTCTCACGTACAAATCATAATCCATTACTTATCACAAATGAATGGATTACATAATTTTAGGCTCCAGAGATCAACTATGAATCCCCTAAATTAGTGAGGAGCAAAGTACTTAAGTTTCTAGTATACGATTAGGAAGAGGTAGCAAATCAGATCCAACTGCTGCCACTGCTCTTCCCACATTATATCCAAATACTCCTGAGAAGTTGATTATATGATTTTTAAAAGCACTGAGGTCTGAAATGAAAAGAGAACTCCTGGAAAAAATAATAAAATAATATAGCAAATCAAGCAGAAGAAATATTTAAAAGTTGCTTGAAAAGTTAAGAATTCTGAAGCATGGTATCCAAAGTCTTACTTAACCTAGAAACACCAAGTACACATGATTATGGACTATCATGAGGAAATTTAAGAATTCTGCAGGGAAAAACAAACAAACAAAAAAACAAAACAAAAAAACAAAAAACAAAAAAACCAGCAACAACAGTTTTTCAGTTTCTTAAGTGCATTTCACCAAGCAGAACTGAACAGTATAAATAACAAGGAACAATATGATTATACCAAGGTTGGACTATTTCTTTAAAATAAATGAAAAAGTAGCCCCAGAAAATATCCAGAATTCTGAGTAAACTCATTATAGTTTCTGCTTGATATCTGCTCCTTTTTTAAACTTTATATCTAAAATTTCAAAAAATTACAAAAATTAAGGATTTTCCCAAAGGATTTCTTTTTCTCTGAATATCTTATAGACTTCCAATTAAACCTACCACCTGTATTTACTGGTGCATTTAGCGCCAAATTTACTAAATCCTTTAACATATATTTAAATTATACATATATACATGTATATAACTAAACTGGATATGTAGTTAAACCCCTGCATACAAGAAAACTTTGATAATTTAATTTTTTTCAGTGATTTTTTTTCTACAAAATCCTAGGAGCATCTTAATAGTTAATAGCCTGTTGTACTACAGAAAGACTGAATAGCAGCTTGCCCTCCTTGTATAAAAACATAGAGGCATTTTAGCAGCTGAAAACACTTAACAATTACCTCTAAACTTTGATTTATTCGCTGCCAAAATGATTCAGTTAAGACTTCATCTTATTTGGCTAGTCCAATTTCTTTGGATAAAATTGAAAGTAGTTCTCTGATATTTCCTTTGAAAAATATAAATATGCAGCAAGGTTATTTTTCTTGACAGATTTTGTCGTAAATGAAAGCTCAGCTGCTGACAGACTATTTCCAAGACATTTCAGTGACCAAAACCTCTATCATAGTTGGCCACCACCTTGGTACATTAGGACATTCTTTTAGAAGAGCTGATGTGTGATCCTAACGGCATTCACTATATATTACAAAGGCAGTAGGAAGGTAGAATTGACAAATTCATTAACGGTGTATAATACTAACAACACACATGTTACTTGTTTGCTTTAATTAATAATATCCAGACTCAGGCTATTATTAAAGTTGTTTCTTGGGCTTGAATAAAATATTTCATCCATAAAATATTTTTATTTACTAATAATCCCTAATGTATACTTTTGTAACATAACCTAAACTATTTATTAATTTGAAAATATTCTCATGGGGATTCTCTTTATTAGCAGTGATATCTAATAACCATATGTCTTTTTGTCACTGTTTTCTGATGGCTGGCATGGTATCTGGCATATAGAAATAATGCAATGTAAATTCTTTGATTGCATTAATGAAAAAGAACAATATACCAATGATAAAGGAAAGGAGAGAAGAAGGGAAGAAAGAAAACAATAAAGGGAAGGAGGGAATTCCATATGATAAGATACAAATTTCCATTCCCTCAAATTTCCTGTTTTCCAATAGGAAAAAAAAAGAAGAAGAAGAAAGAAAAACAAGCCTAACCTTTAATGTATGTATTTAATAAAGACAGTCATTCCTCAAAAGTACAGCAAAATAAAAAATGTATTTTAGAGATCTTAATCTTCTAGTAATATAAGCTTCAAAATACAAACATTTCTGTGTTTATTTTTTTCTAAGTGAGAAAACTTTTCAGTAAAAATCCTTTATGTATAGTAATTTCCTATAGATTGATATTTTCTTCTGTAGTGCTTTAATTTATTCATATGCTTAAACATATACTTTTGTAAGTCAAATGTTAGAAATATGAATGTCATGAAACCAGACATAATATTGTATATATTGAAATTTCAGTGACTAATTCCCCAAAGAGTTCATCTATATTCAGAACATTAAAACTTGCTGGTGTAGTGTAACTGTTTGATAAATATATATTGATTTATTCCATATGGAATGAAGTATATGGCATTGAAAATCACAAATACAAGACACATACAGTTTTCTTGGGGAGTGAGAAAAAAAATGAATCACCACAGACAAAAACATGAATACAAGGATAATCAGATGACCCTTTAATTACACTATTTTAAATAAGTCAAATGCACAAACTAGTTTGCATATTTTATTCTACTATATTTGAATCATCTTATGATATTGTAACAAGAAAGTTATTTAGTACTTTTTTCATTTCATATTCTATCTTTTTTTAGCTACTCTACTAACCTACAGACTATCAAAATAAATTTTTGTTTGTTTGTTGTAGTGCTTTATGTTGAGAAAATAACTAGAATATTTGGTGATCCGTACCAAATTTGAAGTATTATGTGAGAGACTTGCATTGGAAAGTATAGAGCTAAATAAAATATAACCATAATGTGAAGAATTGAAACTAATATTTACAGACATTATTGGAGATAAATGGAAAGTATGAACAAGTTAATGAAAATATTGTAGCAATTACATACAGTAATCACAAATAGTTGTACTCCTTAGAGAGAATGTCAGTTTTGATCAAGAGATTTTCTTCAAAGTTGAGGATAAACATCACAGAGTATGAAATCTTTAAAAATAATTGTAACTCCATCTGATATGTTTTATCCTCTGCATTGTCAAATAGTGAATGAGAAGCCTAGAAAAACTTATGACAGCTTATAGAGTACACTAAGAACATCAATTGTTTTGAATTAATTCTATGGTAAACTCTTGAACCTCTGAGGATCATATGACTATTTTTCCCAATACCAATTGACCTCCTTTGATGTGACTTCAGAGTAAAAATTCCTAGACTATCATCCAGTGTTAATAAGTCTAATAGCTATAATTTACTCGTGAAATAAACCATACAAAATGTGAAGGTACTAATGAACACATTTCTTCAGACTTATTTTTTCATGAGCTAAACATACTAATAATCAAAATAAATATAGGACAGACCTGTTTATTACTCCAGATCAACAACAGTGATTAATCTCTTGGTGGCAACTATTACGTAGTGATCAAATCCTTCCAAGTAGATTCCCCAAATATAATATAATCAGCAGTCATTTATCATGTTTGCATGATTGAACTATTTCCAGTCATATATGCTAATTAAATTTTTAATAAATTTTATTCATGTTTATAACCATATTATTGCATGTAAGTTGTAACTAGAAGTAGAGTCTTAATTATTCTATGTTATTCTTGGAAATACTTCACTGTGAAGCGGTAGTTGGGGGAGGGGCAGGGAAGTGCTGGAAAGAGGAAGGCAGGGTCCTTGGGGAGGGCTCCACCCTCGGGCCTATGCCTACGGACCTAGATGAGGACAGCTCTCCTTTTTGCACCCAAATGTTTCATTTTCCAAGATCACCCTGGCCTGCCATGCCCCCATTCTGTGCCTATAAAAACCCTGAGACCCTGGCAGGCAAGAACACAAGCGACCAGACGTTGAGAGGAACACACTGTCAGAAGAGCACATAGGCGGCTGGATGTTGAGAGAAGTAGAGGAGTGGAAGAGCACACTGACAGGCACTGGCAGACGCCAGCAGGCCATCGACTGGCAGAACGACGTGGACACAGGGAATTTGGCCGGGGTGGTCAGAGGAGAGTCTGGCCGCTGAGCACCCGACTCCAGAGGAAAACCACATTCCCACTCCATCCTCTTTCTGGCTCCCCACCTATCTGCTGAGAGCTACTTCCACTACTCAATAAAACCTTCCACTCATTCTCCAAGCCCACGTGTGATCCGATTTTTCCGGTACACCAAGGCAAGAACCCCAGGATACAGAAAGCCCTCTGTCCTTAAAATAAGGCAGAGGGTCTAATTGAGCTGATTAACCAAACTGCCTTCAGATGGCAAAACTAAGAGAGCACACTGTAACACATGCCCACTGGGGCTTCAGGAGCTGTAAATATTCACCCCTAGACACTGCCATGGGGTCAGAGCCCATCCACCTCACAGCCTGCCTGTCTGCATGCTCTCCCTAGAGGTTTGAGCTGTAGGGCACTGAAGAAAGGAGCTATACCCCTAGTCACAGGCCCTGTGAGGGGGATAAGGAAACTCTTCCCATTTCAGTAGGAAAACAAAAATTGGTATATGTGACCCTAAAATGTTAACATATATACAGAAATTCCTGTGATAGAGCAAGTCAGTTTTTCCTTCATTTTAACACGTAGTAATGGGAGTCACAAGTTACTTCATCATATTTAGATTAAATACAGTGAGGATTAAATAGCTCTTCAGAGATTTTGGACTTTCTGAATGTAATAGTTAACTGGTTCTTCAATTGTTTTAATAAAACCTTTCTCATTCAAATTCATTTTAAAGATTCAAACAGGAGTTTAAACAGACTTGTAACTTGTGAGTTGCATTTATAATTAGCTGCTAGGAGCAGACTGATAGATGTGTTTGAAGCAGGAAGGAAACCAGCATCCTAATTCTGCCATGTCAAAGCTGCAATTATCCTGGAGAACAAGTATACCATAGAACTTCTTGTTAGGGAAGATAGTTGCAAGCCATAAATAAATAACATTTTGTCCTCTGCTGAGCACAACTAATAATTTAAATAGAAAGTTATTAAGTTTTGTTGTTTAAAAAATGTTTATTTTATTCAAAGAAAAAACTTACCTATTCCTCAACTCCAATTTCATTTTGTTTTCTTTTCTCTTTTTTTTCTTTTTCTTTTTTTTTTTTTTTTTGAGACAGAGTCTCGCTCTGTTGCCCAGGCTAGACTGCAGTGGCACGATCTTTGCTCACTGCAACCTCTGCTTCCCAGGTTCAAGCTATTCTACTGTCTCAGCCTCCCAAGTAGCTGAGATTACAGGAGCACACCACCACACCCAGTTAATTTTTGTATTTTTTTTTTTTAAGTAGAGATGGAGTTTCTCCGTGTTGGTCAGGCTGGTCTTGAACTCCTGACCTCAAGTGATCCACCCGCCTCAGCCTCCCAAAGTGCTGGGATTACAGGCATGAGCCACCGTGCCCAGCCAATTTCATTTTCCTTAAATTTAGAAGTAACTTAGTGATTTACTATTTTAAAGAATCCCTCTCCCTTCCCCTTTACATCTTTGCCACCTGCTTTTGCTGAATCCTTCCAAGAAGAATGCTCCAGCATACATTTCCAGGTCCTTCCTTTAGTCCTGTTACCAAAAAATGCAAAACACAATTTCATTTTGCATCTTAAGGGCTCCAATGATCAAACATTGGGTGAGGGGGACTCTTTAGAATAGCCAATTAAGTTAAATTTAAAAATCCAAAGGAATGCAATTTGGTTTGGACAGGAATCCACTCCTATGTTCCTGGTAATCTGATCCTGCTCCATGAGGATTAATATATCTTTCAAGTATCAACCCACGAGGATTAACGGAGCAGTATCAGGTTATCAGGAACATAGTAGTGGATTCCTGTCCCAACTAAATTGATTCTCCCTGTCCTATCCACATTATGATTTGAATCCAAAGATCCAGCTCCAAGGATTGGGATCTAGTGAGCCCTCTCCAATCCAAACCTTTATAACCAGCTAAAGCAAAAAAGAGGAGGCAAAATGTTAAATACTGTAATCACAAAAGATTTCTGAGGAATGAGTTATCTCTGTGTATTAGTCAGGGTTCTAATCTCTGCAGTCCCTCCAGGGATGCAATATTGTTTTTGATTTACTATTTTTCTAGGTAGAGGCAGCTTTACTGGCTCCCATTTAGACTTTTCCACCATAATAGCCCTCACCACCAGTCAGGGAGCCAATGTGGGGGTTCTGCCAGCTGCTAAATATGTATATGACCATTATGCATTCTGGTACTGGGGAAATGACTACAGGATGAGTCTAGGGACCCCTGGACCCACTGCAAGTCAGACCTGAGTTAAATTCCAGTAATTATCTGACCTCCATAAGCCCGTACTTTAACTGGAGGACCACAGTGACGTTTTGGGTCCCCTGCAATCAACACAAGCTCAGAGCCAGTGTCAAGTAATCCCCAAAATGCTTGATCATTTTCCTTTCCCCAGTGCACGGTTACCCTGGTAAAAGTCCAGAGGTCTCCTTGGAGCAGGATGGTAGAAAGATTACAAGCATAAATTGTTGGTAGTGTATTGAGATTCTTCCTCAAGGGGACCTGGTCTCCCCTTCAAGTATCAAGTATTAACTCACATAATCACAAGGTCGCACAATAGCCCATCTGCACCTGAGAAGCAAGAGAAGCCAGTTTGAGTCCCTAAACTGAACGGAGTCTGATGTTTGAGGGCAGGAAGGGTTCAGCATGGGATAAAGATGTAGGCTGGGAGGCTAGGCCAGTCTAGTCTTTTCAAATTTTTCTGCCTGCTTTATATTCTAGCAGTGCTGGCAGCTGATTATATGGTGCCCATGGAGATTAAGGGTGGGTCTGCCTTTCCCAGCCCACTGACTCAAATGTTAATCTCCTTTGGCAACACCCTCACAGACACACCCAGGATCAATGCTTTGCATACCTCAGTTCAATCAAGTTGACACTCAGTATTAACCACCACAGTCTGTATTCAGTTTAACTGATGAGTATCAATAACTATCAAATTCTGCAAAATGGCAGGGCACAGTGGCTCACACCTGTTATCCCAGCATTTTGGGAGGCCAAGGCAGGCAGATCAGTTTAGCTCAGGATTTTTAGGCCACATGATGAAAACCTGTCTCTACAAAAAATACAAAAATTAGCTGCATGTAGTGACCCACACCAGTAGTCCCAGCTACTGGGAAGTGAGATGGGAAGAGCACTTGAGCCCGGGAGGCAGAGGTGCACAGAAGATAAATTTTAGAAACTTAGTTAGTATAGAGACTAATTGAAAGAAGCATTTGATATTTACAGTTCAACTGATAGTGCCAACACTTACTCTACAGCATATTACAGGGTTTGTGGTTGAAAAATTTATGTCGTTTAAAAGCTTACTGGTATTGCTACCCACCTAAGTCTAAACTAAATTCAATGCTCTCATTTGCAATTTAATTTGTAAATTAAAGTGTTTTAAATATATGAGCCAATTATGAAAAATTAGTTTAAAGTAGAAGGTGAGATTTAAAGTATTCCCAACTGGATTATGTACACCAATACATTGGAACTTTCCATTTTGCTTCATTTTTTCTTAAGAAAATAAAATAGCAATGCTCTAACAGTCACAGAGAGGATATGCAGATTTAGCAATATTGATATTATCCTCTATCTTAG
The DNA here is from genome assembly GCF_000001405.40 of Homo sapiens. Classification (NCBI taxonomy): domain Eukaryota; kingdom Metazoa; phylum Chordata; class Mammalia; order Primates; family Hominidae; genus Homo; species Homo sapiens. Next base: position 69,408,052 of record NC_000013.11, read on the forward strand.
ATTTAAAGATACTCTATACCTACATGTACACTACCAGCAGGTCACACATTACCAGTTGTAACTAAGCACTGTGACAAATTAGTCAGTTCTTCCCACATTAGTTCTTATTAAGACAAAAGATGTTTGGGAGGAAGCAAAATAGTTACAAAATGAGCAATGTAATGATCTAAACTTGGTATTATCCAGCTTCCCAGCCACAAAGGTAATATCTTCTTTCTCTACATCCTTCATGACACCATGCCATCTTGGTAAACCTCAGCATGGCATACACCACCTGCTTCATGCATGTGATCTTTTAACTCCTGCCAGCTTCCACCTGGAGGCAGCCCAGAGACAACCACTCTGTTTTCAGACCACCTGGGTAGGGGAGCCATGGAAACCTTGGGGAGTTCCGCTGCCTCCTTGGCCTGTGCCAAGGCCGTTTGTAGGAGACTCCACCAGCATAAGGCATCTGTCATAATCACAGCTATGGAGACCATACACTGCATCTTCCTCATCGTGGCTGTTCAAACTCAACAAAGGCCAAGGGAGGTCCATGGGATTCTTGAGGTCCGTGTCACAGATAGTGCCCATATTTATAGATCACGTCCTCAGTGTCCTTGGTTGGGATACCTGAAGGTAAGTTATCCACATAGATGTGACAATTCTTTTTCCCCGCCTGTCCACGAGTCATGCGGCTTCCCAACATGGCAGCCACAGAAAGCGTGACCTCAGCACACACCTTCCCACCAAGCCTAGCCTAGCTGAGCACCCCTAGTCACACCACGCCCCAAAATCCCTCCAAAATGGCCAAAGGTTTTTCTTAATAAATGTATTTGCCTCAATAAAAATATCCTTTTGTGGAGTCAAGAATGAATAAACATTCTGTTTTGTCATATGTATGCTGTTGAAAGTTTGGGAAACAGATAAATACTCTTGAAGACTTTTTAAAGTAAAAGCCAGCTGATCATGAGTGTTGTGAGATGTGATATGTTACCCATAATGTATTTCTCACATACTGAAGTTCCATCTGTCTACACTCTTGACTTCTTTGTTATGCATGATTATTATTATAAGCTAAAATTGGATGCAAGAAGTAAAAACTGAAATGAAATAAGGGGGAGTGAAAAAATATTAATTCTTAAAGGTTTAGGGAACTAATTCTAAAAAAAAATGTTCTAGTACTAACTATACAAGAAAGAATACATAAAAATAATCTTATAGAAGTGTTGATGCTACCAAAAATTTTGACACATATCATATTCAATTATAAATTAAATTTAAAAAATGAAGTTGACAGTATATAAATTTTGTCTGTTACTGGTAAATATAGTAATATTTGTAATAATAGAATATGTAAAATAATAGCTTCAAAAGCATTTAGATGTTCTGCATTCTTGTCAGTTGAAACACAACATAATCTGACATTTCAGAGACAATTATAAGTAAAGAAGACATTGAATGCATTCCCCTGACCAAAAAACTTCCCCATCAATGAGCATCACTTCCCAATCAATACAGTTGTGCTATTTGAGTATAGTCCATCTTGATCCTATGCCACACCAATATATAACAATTTCAAGGAATTCTTTGGCATAAGACAGCAACTGATAGTCTGCCAGACTTACTGTTGAATAAAGTAGAAAGTAATATATTCTAACATTAATATAGATAATTTTATTCTAATGACTAATTATCTGAGTAGAAAAGAAAGCTGATGGTTTTACTGCTCATTTAGTCTTTCCCAAGAGCCTATTCAATTATGTCTGTTTCTACACACAAATTTCCAATTCTTTCCCCAAATCAGCATTTATTCTGTAGTGCAATAATCCAGACTTAATACCTAAACTTTTCTCTATTTTTGTTTCCTGTTCTAGACAATATTTCAGGGACTGTGTTGAGTTCCTTGTATTTAATATCTTGTAGTGTGTGTACACACACACACACATAATAGGTATTGTAACTTTGTCTCTAGAGAGGAAACTTGAAGCTCAAAAAAGTTGAGTACTTTTTTTTAATTATATCACTGGTGGGGTTCATATCAAGTTTAGCCTGTTGCCTTTCTATCCTTATTCTTATATCCCTATGTTTTCCGCCTCCACATTGTTGGAGACTGCATTCTTGGAATGGATTCTTGGAATGCATTGTCTTCCCAAGACCCTTTTTGACATCCTACCTGTCTTTAACAGTATAATGTATTTCCATAAAATCTCTTAATTCTTATTAGGAATGATTTTCCAAAATGGAGCTGTGACCACCCCTTGCTTTAGTCTCAATCTGACATTAATAATATCTATTTCTTTATGATCATTACCAGGTTAATGTTTCTTGAGACCACAACAATGTTACCCATAGCTTTAAAAATGTAGAGATTCAAAAACTCTTTAAATCCATTGAATTAGACATTTGTGATTAAAAATTACATAAAGAGTTTATAGTGTTAAATAAGTCATTGCTTGCAATAAACACAAAAGAAATGTAGTTCTCTTTATTTTTTAGCTTTTTAGTTAAAATATTGAAACCAAATGATCTCACAGAAAACAGGTGATAGAACATTTCTCCCTACATACGCTACAAGACATACAGACAGAGACATGAAACAATTTTGCCTTCACAATTTATTTATTTATACCTTCTCTAATAAATTGTCATTCTCTGATCCAGTGTTAACTCTTCCCATTTTGATCTAACAACCAGCTTAAGTGCTCATTTACCCCTTTCTCTTGTGCTCTTAATTTTATGCATTTTATTGAGTTGTTCCATCGAGTGTATAAATATGCTCAATTGTCTACATTCTAGCTCTTATCCTTATATAGCCAAGAGCTCTCTAGTTACACAGCTTCCATTTCTTCTTTAAAAGATGGCTTCACTTCCCATTCAGTCTCTCATTCACATTTAGAGCTAAAGCAATTTGGCTTCTTGATCCACCATTACATTAATATCTTCTCCATGGCAACCAGTGATTTCACTGCCCAATTCTATAAATAGTGAAATCTCTGCTATGTGTAAAATGCACAACATACACTTTTCATGAAATTTGACATTCTTTTTCCTCTTGGTGCCATTTTTATTTTCATTTTCTACATGCCTCTTGCTTCTGTTTAATCTCTTTCATGGATTTATCCTTAATCTTATATATTAAATGTCTTATAGGATTCAAAATCAATACAATTATTTTATATTCATTAGACAGTAAAACTTAAGTCAATATCACACATAATGTTAGCTTTATTTTCTCCTATATACATTAGTGAAATATTAATAGAATAAATGTATATATACTATAAACACACACACACACACATATAGAGACAGAGAAAGTGAGAGAGAAATCTGTCTGCTTGCAGTTGTTCTAGGATTTACAACATGCTTATGGAATCTGTACTTTTAAAAAACATATAGCTCTAATATTTAATATTTAAAGCAGTGCTACAGTCTTTTTAACCAATTCCAATAATAAAAAAGATGTGCACCTCGGATGACTCCATGTTGTTGCTGTTGTGAATAGTGCTCTGATGAACATAAGAATGCATGTGTTTTTTCTGTAGAATTATTTCTGTTCTTTGAGTATAAACCCAGTAAATGAATTGCTGGGTCAAATGGTAGTTCAACTTTAATTCTCTGAGAAATCTCCAAACTGCTTTACACAGTGGTTGAAACTAATTTGCATTCCCACCAACAGTATAAGGGTTTTCTCTTTTCTCTGTTATAGTCTTTTTAATAATATGCATTCTGACTGGTGTGATATGGTATCTCATTGCAGATTTACTTTGCATTTCTCTCATGATTAGTGATGTTGAGCATACTTTCATATGTGTGTTGGCCACATGTATGTCTTCTTTTGAGAAGTGCCTGTTCATATCCTTTGCCCACTTCTTAATGGCATTATTTGTTTTTCTATTGTTATGTCATTCCTCATAGAATCTGGATATTAGACCTTTGTGGGATGCATAATTTGCAAATGTTTTCTCCCATTCTGTGAGTTGTCTGTTTACTCTGTTGATAGCTTTCTTTGCTGTGCAGAAGCTCTTTAATTAGATCCCACTTGTCAATTTTTGTTTTTGTTGCAATTGCTTTTGAGGATTTAGTCGTAAATTCTTTGTAAGGCCAATGTCCAAAATGCTATATTCCCTAGATTTTTCTTCTAAGATTTTTATACTCTGAAGTATTACATTTAGATCTTTACTCCACTTTGAGTTAATTTTTTTTAATATGGTACAATGTAGTTGTCTAGTTTCATTCTTCTGCATATAAATAACCAGTTATCCAGCACCATTCATTAAATAGGAAGTCCTTTCCTCATTGTTTATTTTTACTGACTTTGTCAAAAAGCAAATGGTTGTAGATGTACAGCTTTATTTCTGGGTTCTCTGTTCTGTTTCATTGGTCTACGTGTCTGTTTTTGTACCAGTATAATGATGTTTGGTTATTGTAGCATACTTTGAAGTTGAGTATTGCGATGCCTCAATTTTTTTTTTTTTTTTTTTTTTTTTTTGCTTAGGATTGTGTTACACTCTTTTTTGGTTCCATATGAATTTTATAATAGTTTTTTTTCTAATTCTGTGTAAAATGATTTTGGTAGGTGATATACTATAGAATAGTATGCAGCCATAAAAAATGAATCATATGCTTTGCAGCAACATGGATGCAGGAACAGAAAACCAAATACTACATTTTCTCACTTATAAGTAGGAGCTAAACATATGGACATAAAGATAGGAACAATAGAAACTAGGGACTAATAGACAGGGTTAAGAAGGTGAGGACAAGGGCTGAAAACGACCTGTTGGATACTATGCTTACCACCTGGGTGTTGGGATCATAAGTACCCCAAACTTCAGCATCAGGCAATATACCCATGTAACAAACCTGCACATATTCACCTTGAATCTGAAACAAAAGTGGAAATAATAAAAAGGAAGATAAATAAATTACAGTTTGGTAACAAGGTTTACAACTCATCGTCAAATTAACTTTTTATTAGATCACTTTGTATAGTTTATGCATTTCCAAAATTAGACAAAATGAAACTTGTGGATGGAACATTCAGGAAATAGAGAAAATAATACCATCTGGTTTTCTCTTTGTAAGTACTTAAGTAAAGAAATTAACCTCTAATAATACAATATTTTTATTAGTTAAAAATAAAGGACATATGTATCTACACACACATATATGCTATACATAAATACATATGAGAAAGACAAAAATTGAGAGATTAAGAGACAGAGAGAGTTTGAGATAGAGAGTTCAAAAAAAAAGCAAATGATATAAATTTACAAGAGTAAATAGAATAATCATGTGAAGGGTATTAGGAGTTCTTTGTTTTATCTTTTAACATTTCTGTAAGTTTAAAATTATTTCAAAATAAAGATCTAAATATTTTCAAAAAATAAAACAAATTTTTGAAAATCTAAAAATTTTCAAAAAATAAAACATAAACATAAAAACCAGAAATCTGTCTAATACAAATGTAACTTAGTGTTTGATGGGTACATAAGTATGTGCTTTTCACATATTAAAACATTTAATCTTAACAATATATGATAGACTCTACTGCTATCATTTTCATTTACAAAGAACTTTAGAGATTTGCCTGAAGTATTACACCTAGTTAGAGATGAAAATAAGCGTTGAAAGTTGGCAATCTTAACTGTAAAGCCTTGTTTTTAACCATTCTGCATATGGTCCCTTCAACGTTCCACTATACTATATATTAATATTTATTAAATAATAAAAGTGCATAAAAGACAAAATGATGGTTGTAGGAAAATGAACATGAAAATGATTTATTTCTGTTACTATTTAATATCAAAACACTCCTCTTCAGTTCTTTCAAGTGTTTTAAAATACAATAAAACGTGATAACTTTTTCAAATACATTTTAATCAATATTAGTGGGGTATAATTTTCAAAGAAAATAAACATATTTTAGGCTGGGCATAGTGGCTCACGCCTATAATCCCAGTACTTTGGGAGGCCAAGGAGGGGCTATCACTTGAGGTCAGGAGTTCAAGATCAGCTTGGCCAACATGGTGAAACCCCGTCTCTACTAAAAATACAAAAATTGGCTGGGTATGGTAGGGTGCACCTGTAATCCCAGCTACTCAGGAGGCTGAGGCAGGAGAATTGCTTGAATACGGGAGGCGAAGGTTGCAGTGAGCCGAGATAGCACCACTGCACTCCAGCCTGGGCAACAGAGCCAACAGAGCGGACTCGGTCTCAGAAAAAAAAAAAAAGAAATATATTTTAAACCTGTAATTTTATGACATTTAATAAATATTATACTTTTGTAATCAACACCCTAGTCAATTCTATCATGCCAGAAATTTCCCTTGTACATTTTTGCAGTTAAGCCTCTTAATTCTCCCTCAGAAAACCACCCATCTCTTTTTTTCTCTCTTGATTATATTTGTTTATCCAGACCTTCACAGAAAGGAAATTATATAGTAAACTTATTTTTCCTAATTTTTTTCTTCCAATATAATATTTTTTAGATTAATACCTCTTTGTTGCATACATCAATATTTTCTCATTTATTTTTGAGTAGTATTCTCTTATACGGATCTACCAAAATTTACATATCTACCACAATTTACGTATTGCACTGGTTGAAGGCTACTAAAAATAAAGCGCTTATAAATATTCACAAAACACTTTTAAATCAATTAGTATTAATATCTAAGTGCATAATTGCTAGGTCTTACAAGTAAATTATTAATTGTGTAAGAAACTGTCTGATTGTTTTTCACTGTGGTGATAATGTTGTACATTGATTAAGCTCTGTGCTCCCTGAAGACAGTGGGAGTCATCTGGGAGCACAGAGAGAAGACAGTCTGTGCCTTGAGATGACAGTAAAGAAGTCATAACAAAGGTTAGTTTTCCAATGTGCTCTCCTCTATCCTTTTGTGTTCTAGAGATGCAACTATCTACAAAGGACAACCTTATCCACGATATCCTGAAATAAGTGCTTTCTCCATCTTTCCCCAGATGATTTCTTTGTTTACCTGCCTCTACAAATCCCAGGTCACTTTTCTTGTATGAGACATTTCCTCATTAATAAATGTTCTCACTATTGCATTAGCTTCAATAAAACCATCTTTTTAATGGGTGCAATTTTGTCTTTGACAGTTTGGTGCCATGACTTGGACAGAATTGGATCTAACCCTTAAAGCCCTATGTTCTCTATCTAGTTAGCAAGGCCTCTAAGTTTCCATTGTGCTCCAGATGAAGAACTCAGAGGACAGCTCCTGACCCTGTGTTCCAGACTCCTGTACAACAGCAACACTGGTCGACAATAGCACTCATTGACTTTGATACTTATGAGTTCTCAAAAAGACAGAAAGGATATGACAAGAAATAAAAAAAAAAATTATTTCTGGTGCCAGCTTATTTCAGTTTTATGGCTTGATCACTTGTTGATCTCTTTAAACAGATGGTTTATAAATAACTTGTCTTTTTGGGTGAAAGACAACACAGATATCTAGTTTTTGTTTGTTTGTTTGTTTGTTTGTTTTCTATTTGCCTATTGTGAGCTCAGGTCAATTAACAAGTTGTACTTAATGGGAAAAGAAAAGCCCCTTGATATAAACTATTGAGTTTTGAGTTTTGTATTTCTGTGTGTGTGCTTGGCCCATGGTAGATATTTATAATTGAAGCTGTTATCTCCTTATCTGTGTCTATGTATGCTTGTGTTTTGAGGGTGTGTAATATTTTCCTATCTCTGGATGCTGTTACCAAATTTGACTACAAAATATTCTAAAATGGCTCTGTTCTGTTTGGCTTAGAGATAAATGCCAGTTACATAATTTGAATATATCTAAAATACTTTTAAATTTCCCACACAATAAAGAAATTGTCATGAGACACTGCTAGGAGTAATACTGACAGCAGTCCAACTTTATGTGTGAAGTACATGGTATGCATTTTTTGTTAAGGAAAAATATAGTAGTTTTGTACCAAGTAAAAGGTATTGGTGGTTGCAAATGAGAAAGAGGAAAATTCAGGACAAAACCTACTTGTATAGAAAATTATAGAACTAATGGAAATGGAATTTTTGCCAAGGCCAAACTGGCTATGGATTGATAGGTTTATTTATAAGATTCTCAAACAGATTTCAGTGTCAAATATAGTTATGCCTTTCGTACATTTCGGTAAACAACATAACCACATATATGACAATGATCTTATAATATTGTAATACTATACTTTTACTGTACCTTTTCTATGTGTAGATATGTTTAGTATACAAATACTTACAATTTTATTACAATGACTGATAGTATTCAGTACAGTAACATGTTGTACAGGTTTGTAGCCTAGAAACAATATGCTATACTATATAGCCTGGGTGTGTAGTGAGCTATATCATCTATGTTTATGTAAATACACTCCATGAGGTTCAAACAATAACAAAATAAACTAAGGACACATTTCTCAGAATGTGTCCCCATCATTAAGTGATGCATGACTGTATTGTGATGATGCAAAGTTTAACTTTGGCTTTCTCTTTCTTAAAAGGACATTTTCTTGAATTATTGGTTTGCTTTTAATAGAAGATTGTGAAAGATTTTTCTTTACTTTCTGTGTAATCTGAATAGATAACAGTGATTTTATGTTTTACCAGAACATCCTTCCATGGTTTATATTGATTGTATTATGTCCTTGACTATTTAAAAAAAAAAAACAAAGGTGTCTTACTTGGGAACAGAGATTTTATGTTTTACCAGAACAAACTTCCATGGTTTATGTTGATTGTAGTATGCTCTTGACTATAACAAAGGTGTCTGACTTAGGAGGTAGCTAAGGTGCTTTACAATCATATCACTTCCACTGTTTACTTTTAAAAGTATTTTATTTTCACTTTGGATTGAAAGCCAGCCAAGTATTTTTTCTTAAAATTTGTGATCCTATCTTAATTAAGTGTTCATATATTTTAACAACATTTGATATTTTGCCCTCTCAATATTGAATACTAGTTTTATCTTTTGGACCTAAAGTTGTCTTTAATATTTCCCAGCGAACCCTGGAAAATTACAAATAATGTGTTCTGTCACCTTGCAAAAAGTGCTAGAAATGATTAGGTTTATTTCATACATAATTTTGGATTCGTTTCATGAGAAGAGTTCTTAAATCAGAAGAGATACTGACCCTTCTGCAGGTTGAATTTGTATGGAAAACTATTATTAATGTAAATATTTGAGAAGTTTTATGGCATTTGGGAAGTTCCTAAAAAAATCAGCAATGCCCTCACAGTTCAAATTTTTATATTTATCAGCCTTGGCACTACATTGACTGATATTAGACAAAAACTGTACATATTATTAGTCATAATTTCAGAGATTTTGTATGTTAACTTTGTTAAAGTGTGCCCCCGGCTGACAAACAAAATGGACTCCTCCTGGCTCACTGAGGTGTTTAAAATTGAAACAGAATCAAGTAGCCATGGCTGGTGAGGGAGTAGTCACTACACTTTGTTCTTGGAAAGAAACTGTAAAAGTGTAATGGGACCTCTTTTTCTACAATCAAGCCAAACTAGTTTTTGTTGTCAGTGCTGAGATAAACTGCAGGTGAAAATTCCCCAACTGACCACCAACAGACCACCTAGAACCAGCCAATCAAAGAGACTGGTGATTTTGAGCTTAAAGGTCACCTGAAGAAGGCTCTGTTCCTCAATCCCTAACTCTGTTGCCTGTCCTGTGGATTTTGCCTTTATAGTCTTTAAATCTCCAATCCCCAATCAAGGGAAATTTCCTTTTACACTGAGGCTGCATCTCCTGAATTGTCAGATTTTTTTATAGAAAATATAGCTCTTCTTTTTATCTCCATAGATCTCATGATCTTTTGTAACACTAAGACCCACTTTATTTTTTACATTTGAATCTAACACCTAAGTAAGTGATTTTTATTTGTGGATTCACATCACTTGTTGATGGAGTTTATTAATACAGATATTTTGTACCTACTCCAAACTAAGTATCTTTACTTAGTATTCCTTTTTAACTGCTATTTTTATTTTATTGTAGTAAGAACACGACATAAGATCAATCTTCTTAAGAGATTTTTAAGTGTACTATATAATATTGTTAACTGTAGGTATAACGTTATATCCTTGGTATATTCTGAATTTGTTCTTGGTATTATATCCATGGTTAATTAGGTCTCAGGATTATGGATTTTATCTGAATATTCTTTTGGTAAAGATTGTGTGCCTCTAGTTTTAGATAATAGATATAATATCCACTAATCTTTGAAAATAGTGTTATTATATTAACAGAATTTTTGATTGACTTTTATTTTGTTTTGTATGTGACCAAAAGAACAAAATTTTTGGTCAGTTATACTACACTTGTTATGAATTCTCATCAATCTTTCACTTTTGAAATTTTTCTATAGTAAGTTAATCACAGCTACTTTATGTCTTTTGTCATGTACAAAGAGCTTTTGATTTTACTTTGATGTATTCCTGAAAGCACTTACAAAGTACTTCCTCTTCAACAAAGGACTGTCTCAGATTCCCATGGAAAAAGCTGTGTCAGGTAACCTCTGGATAGAGATATTGAATGGCAGTATTTAAACAACTTAGATACCATATGAGTGGACTGAGTCAGAATTTCCAAACTTTAGCCAAGAAACAGATGAGTTTATGAGACTGCTAACCCAGAATGGAGCAGGGCAAAAATTAATTACATAGGACATAAACAAATGAAGGAAGATCATTTTTGCTTGGATATTGTCAATGTTCTAATGTTGTATTTTCAGAGTATAAAACTTTGTCTTTTCTCCTAAATTATTAAAACTCATAGTAATCTGGTAGCTTAAACTTTTGGAAATAAAAGCAAAATATTTCAAAATGATGTATTTTTCTCCCTGCTTAACAACTCCACAATTCAGATACTCTGATCAAATTTTGTTATTCCCATGATAATTACCATATTTTCACATGGGATCAACAAGAATCCATCCTCCTTGTTAATAGACATGGCTCTAAGTGGTAACACACTTGCCCATAAAGTAGGAATGTGCAATTCTGGTGAATATTCTCAAGTGTCCTTATATTTGTGCATTAACTTTTCACATACTTTATTTCTTTATGTCTCTGTAAGTAATTTCTTGGATGGAAAAAAAAGACACTATACATGACTGATTAGCAATATTATTTACCAACGAACCCACAGACAGATGAGAGAATCAAAAACCTGTGCAAGAAAATAGATTCTTTCCATTTTTCTAAAGGAGAGCTGAAGTACAAAATCTCAGGAATACTTTCCCTATTAGAATGTGATGCCCTGAAGTCATGATTACATAAATAGTAAACTCAGGTGGGAAAGCTATACTGTGGTAAACATATGGTGAATATGGTAGCAAAGAGTATAGACAACTGAGTAGGAGTTGAATGTGAGGACACTAGCAGGAGGAATTTATATCTTCTCCATTGTGTCTTTAGCCTTCTTAGTCTGAAGCTTAGTTTAGGACATGCATGATATATCATCATGTTTACTAAAATAAATCCAAACATTGAACTTAATGAAATCTGAAGTTATTTAAATTATTGTATGAACTAACAATTCCAGTTTGCTTAACCTTGAAGCCTCATTAATGCTACATTAATTATAGTAAATAAAATTTTAACATTATTACAAATAATAATATATTAGTGTCACGTGATACTTAGGGTGTTGCTTCACCAGCCAGAAACCTCTGGGGCTGGTGGTGCCTCCTGCCTCAGTATTGCTCATGCCCACTGGGCTCATTCCTCCCACTCAGCCCATCAGTCTGCACTCGGCTCACACTACTGACCCAGATCCCATGTCTACCAAGGGCAAACCAGGCATGGAGTTGTGAGAGGTGTGTGAGCAAGCAAGTACGAGGTCCAGTCACTGCACATAGCCAGGCATGCAAGCTGCTGTGGCACGGCAGTCAGCTCCAGGAACTGGCACCAGTACCAGCTCTGTGCGAGGCTGCAGCCAGACCAGACATACCACAGGCAGCTTCTGCTGTGGGCACCAGTGTCTGGACAAGGGGATCACCATGGCTCCTGAACACTCAGAGATGCTAAAAACTTCAGAGCCCCAAGGAGGGTGTTACAGCCCTACTTCATGGAGCCCCTAGGTCTGGGATCCCTGAAGGGCTGTGACCCTTCTCTCCTCATCATCCACAATGTGGGAAGGCAGGGATGTGTTTCAGCCCTGTTTGTGTTATATCTCTTTCAGTTCTGCTATTTGGTGGGTTGAGAGTTCTTGTCCAGTGTCCAGGAAGAATGAGGTACAGAGAAAACTGGAGGGTGAGCAAAGCAGATAGGAGCTTCACTGAGCAACAGAACAGCTCTCAGGAGACCTGAAGTGAGTAGCTCCTTTCCAAAGGCAGGTCATCCCTACAAGTATCCAACTGTCAGAGGGTAGGAGACCCATAGTGGATAGCTCCTTTCCAAAGGCAGGTCATCGCAACGAGTTCACGAGATCCAAAGTGGGCAGCTCCTTACCACAGCTGGTAGTCCCCATGTCTGTCTGAGTCTGGGGTTTTTATGGGCTGAGAAAGGAGAAAGTGCATGCTGATTGATCCACGGACAGCCATGGATGGGCCTCCAAAAAGCACCATCTGATTAGTGGAATTGTCATCAATGAAGTTCTCACTCTGGGCCACAGACTTTGTCTAGAGCAGGCAACCTGGCCCCCAGGCTTCAAGCATTCCTTGACCTGAAGGTGGGCAGGGACCTGCCCCTTTCCACCCAGAAATGTCTGCCTCCCACCAGCAACATGCCTCCACAACACCCAGGCTGTTTGTACCCACAGGAGCCTGTAGGTCCATGCTTAGCTGCCCTCAGTCACTTGGCCTCTCTCCCATGCTCATCAGTGCCCAAAGTCTGGAGGGCTCCAAGGTGGCAGGGAGGCGTTACTGTGCTCAGGCTTGGCCACAACTTTGCTCCAAAATTGGAGTGAGCACTGGGAGCAGGGAGAGGCCAGGCAGCAGAAGCAGTCACTTCCAAGCCTGCAGGGGCAGGAGGGGCCTTCCTGGGCACCCCAGAGCACAGGGATGCTCAGGTCCAGAGCCGCATCTAAGACTACAGGGCTCCTACCCCACCAACTTGGTAAGAGGCAGGGCTCCTGCCTTTTCCTGTCTCCTGCTGGCCCTGCAGAGCACACAATCCTGACCATGCCTTCCCTACTGCAGCCAGCGTCTTCACAGCCACTGCTCCAGATGGGTCGCCACTGCCATTATTAAGGTGACAACTTTTTGTATTGCACTTAAAAGAGTTTACTGTCTTCAACATTATTTTGACTGTTTCTTGTAGAAAATGGAGTTAAGGTAATATAGTACGTGAGTTTCTTACAATTACTTTATGTTTTGACAGCTATTGTAAATTGTTTATAATATTAATGTTACAGAAACTGTTTAAATACTATCAACAATCTGTCAAGTGTTTGAAGTTAGAGATTATGCAATTAAAATAGATGTTATGTCATGTCTAAAATAAAGGCTAATATATTTGCAAAAAATGCTTGACTTGTGATCTGTTGTCTAAGTCTCCAAACATGACTTTCAAATTGGCTAGCTATGCATTTACTTTGAATTTAGTAAAGCTTAAGATTCAGGCCTGATCTTTTGCAAGAATACTTCCTAAGGCCCTAGAATGGTTCCTAGAATTGTTTTCACATGGTCATATATTTTTGTAATATGTGACAATTCAAATTAATTTTGTAGTCTTAAGCAATCAGGGTTCTAAATAACTCTAGGATTTAGACCACATAAAGCTGGTTTAACCAGAATTTGGCTGCTTATTTTGTGTTCTTTATAATGTGAACAACATTGTATGAGAAGAAACAGAAATTGGTTGTCAAGGGGTCATTAGGAAACTCGCAGAACATTGGGCAAATGTTCATATGGAAACAAGGGTAGGGAGAAGAATTTGAGGTAGGCTGAAGCTGCTCTAATAACCCAAACCATGGTATAATATCTGTCTTCCAAGAACTGTTGCCAATAGTTCTGACAAGGGACTAGAGAGATTATGAATCTGCCAGCATCACCTCCATTTGCATGTTGCTGCACTGCCACTCTGGCTTACCTCAAGAATGGATTCTCCATAGACCTCCTCCTTGCTCTATAAATTTCTGGTTCCTGAATCCAAAGTCAAGGGTAAATTCATCTAATTGGCAAGAACAGAGAAATAATAAACACTCTTCAGGACTAAAAATGTAGAAATAAGCTTAGACTGCAGAAAAAGAAAAGCTTTGCCATTTATCAGAATAGAAGACATAGATATAGATAGATAAAAGCAGCTTCAAATTGAACAGCAAACTTCGTTTTTGCAAAGGTTGTGCAGCAGCTATAAAATACCATAAGGACACCCTTTTTATGGATTACTGCTTTCTTACCATAATATCCCAAGATCTATTTTGCTATTCCCATTGATTCCTGGGGATACTTAATTGCTAAGTCACCAGCCCCTGGTCAATCCTTGCTGCTCTCTGTCCTCTCTGAGAAAAAGCAACAAATACAGAACTCATCCTTGCTTCTTTCATGCCCTCCTTGGAATCCTTCAATAATAATCCAAACCTTGTGAAAGCTCCTTACTTTCTCTTTTTTGAAGGGCATTTCTCATTCCTCTAATTACTCTTCCTCTCTGTGAGTCAATAAAGCTGATTTTGCAGGAATACCAGTTTGTCCTGGTAGTCTTCAGCTGACTAGGCTTTAACGTCTTATCAGTCAATGTTTTACCAGAGAGGAGTGGAAAAGTGATTTTCTGGTGTTACTGTTTCAATTTTTGATTATGGATTCTACTATCTATAAATATCCATAGATGCTGAATACCACCAAAGAAAGTATTACAAGAACATGTTAAACGAAAAACATCAGCCAAAATAAATTTAAAAGAGTTTAACTGAGCAAAGAACAATTCACAAATAAGGCAGCCTCTTGAGCCAGAGTAGTCTTAGAGACTTTCGTGCAGTGGAAGAAGATTTATGGACAGAAAAAGGAAAGTGAAATGCAGAAAATGGAAGTGAGGTACAGAAACAGCCAGATTGGTTACAGCTCAGTGTTTACCAAATTTGCCTTATTTGAACAGTTGGCCACCTTTGGCTAAAACTTGGTGATTGGCAGAAGAGTAAGCTATAGTCTGTTTACAATTTCATTTAGGTTATAGTTTATGATTTACAAAGAAACCTTTAGATTGAATTTAAAATATGTAAGGAGGGAGACTGACTGAGAAAATGGTAGATAGGAGGCAAGACTAACTTGCAGCTCCCACTTGGATGGACAGAGCAGCATGTAGAGACACACCATGAATTTTCGCTCCAAGAACTACCAAAGTAACATACCAGGAAAGCTAAGACAATCCACAGGCCCTTTGAAGGAAGTGGATTGCTGCTGCAGGCTCCAGGAGACAGCCAAAAAACTGTGAGTGCCCCAAGTGTGAAAGTGAGAAAGGGAGATTGTCTGTCCCCAACACACATTCTCACAGGTGGACCTGAAGGTCCAGATAACTGGAGAAGGATTTAATCTTAACTAGAGCCTAGATGAGCTTAGAGAGCTGAGTGAAATACAGGGGTAGAGGAAGCAATGGGAAGAACCCTGCGGGCACTTGTGGTCCCCAGGGAAGCCATTTCTGACTTTGTCTCATAGGGATCCTTGGGGAGGGCTGCCAGTGGAAATGGGGAAAGACCACAGGGAGAAGGAAACCTCCAGCTAAACTTTGTAACAATTTCTACTGAAAGAAAAATTTCCTGGACAGAAACTGGGGGAGAGGGTGAACTGGACATGCAGGCATAGCAAAGAAGTTGTGATAGGCGGGGAGGTGCAAAACCTGAAAGCCTTGCTTGTTTTCCCAGTGGGGAGGCCTGGAACCTGAGGCAAGTCTCTGGCTGCCTTGAAATAAACTTGGTGCTGTTAGAGGGGCACAATAGGATTGAAACCAGCCTTTCAGGCTGTGTGGGAGCTGAGTGAAGCCTGTAACTGCCAGCTGTCTCCCACTTCCCTGGCAACCTGCATAACACAGCAAAGGCAGTGATAATCCCTCTGGGAGCACAACTCTATCAGCCTGAGAACCACACTCCCCTCCCCTACAGCAGTCACAGCAAGCCCTGCCCAAGGACAGTCTAGGCTCAAACACACCTAACCCTGCCCCCACCTGATGGTCTTTCTCTACCCTTATCGCAGCCAAAAACAAAGGACATAATCTCTTGGGACCTCTATGGCCCTGCCCACCACCGGAAAAACTTATCCAGGAGACCCTAGGGCAAGCTTGGATCCTCTCTATATCACTGCAACTGAAAGCACCACTTTCTGGCTGAAGGCCAACAAACACAAAACTAGTGCAATAAACAAAAATATAACCAAGGCCCTTCACGGAATCCACTTCACTCCCATGCTACCATCGCTGCAGCAGGTGCTGGTATCCAGGGCTGAGACATCTGAAGACAAATCACATTACAGGACTCTTTGTAGACACTCTCCAGTACCGGCCTGGAGCATGGTAGCTCCACTGGATGGCTAGATCCAGAAGAGAAATAACAATCACTGCAGTTGGGCTCTCAGAAAGAAACAACCTGGACACCCATATCCAGGGAGCACCCCATGGGATGAAAGAATCTGAACAGCAGCCCTTGAGCCCCAGATCTTCCCACTGACATTGTCTATGCAAACGAGAGGAAACCAGAAACAATTCTGGTAATAAGACAAAAAAAGTTTTTTAACACCCCCAAAAGATCACACTAACTCACCAGCAGTGAACCCAAACCAAGAAGAAATCTCCAAATTGCCAGGGGAAAAAAAAATCATGTCTATTATTAAGGTACTCAAGGAGGCACCAGAGAAAGATAAACACAAACTCAAATAAATTTTGAAAAGTTACAGGATATGGACAAAAAAATCTCCAGAGAAATAGCATAAATAAAAAATAATCACAACTTCTGGAAATGAAGGGCACACTTAAAGAAATGCAAAATACAGTAGAGAGTGTCAGCAATAGAATTTTTAAAAAGTAGAAGAAAGAACTTCAGAGCTCCAAGATATGACTTTCAAATTAACCCAATCCAAAAAAAAGTCAAAGAAAAGAGAATTTAAAAAAGTGAATAAAGCCTCCAAGAAGTTTGGGATTATGTTAAACTTTTTAACCTAAGAATAATTGGTGTTCATGAGGAAGAAGATAAATCTACAATTTTGGAAAACATACATGAGGAAATAATCAATAAAAACTTCCCTGGCCTTGCTAGAGATCTAGACATTCAAATACAAAAAGCTTGAAGGATACCTGGGAAATTGATATCACATAAAGATCATTGCCTAGGCACATAATAATCAGGTTATCTAAAGTCAAGACAAAGGAAAGAATCTTAAGAGCTTTGATGGAAAACTCCAGGTAAACTATTAAAAAGAAAAATGCTATCAGATTAGCAGCAGATCTCTCACCAGAAACCCTACAGCTAGAAGGGATTGGAGTCCTATCTTTTGCCTCCTTAAACAAAACAATTGTCAGCCAAGAATTTTGTATCCATCAATACTAAGCTTCATAAATGAAGGACTGATACAGTATTTTTCAGACAAATGATGAGAGAATTTGCCAGCACTACAATATCTGCTAAAAGCAGTTCTAAACCATGAAACAAATCCTCAAAATACATAAAAATACAACCTCCTTAAAACATATATCTCACAGGATGTATAAAACTATAACACAATGAACAAAAAAGCAAGGTATTCAGACCACAAATAGCATAATAGAATGAATAGTATCTCACATCTCAATATTAACTTCGAATGAAAATGGCCTAAATGCTCGACTTAAAAGATACAGAATGGCAGAATGAGTAAGAATTCATCAACCAAGTATCTGCTATCTTCAAGAGACTCACTTAACACATAAGTGTCAGGCCTCTGAGCCCAAGCCTGCAGGTATTCATTCAAATGGCCTGAAGTAATTGAAGAATCACACAAGAAGTGAAAATGGCCTGTTCCTGCCTTAACTGGTGACATTACCTTGTGAAATTCCTTCTCCTGGCTCATCCTGGCTCAAAAGCTTCCCCACTGAGCACCTTGTGACCCCCATCCCTGGAAGCTAGAGAAAAACCCACTTTGACTATAATTTTCCACTACCCACCCAAATCCTATAAAACAGCCCCACACCTGTCTCCCTTCACTGACTCTCTTTTCGGACTCAGCCTGCCTGCACCCAGGTGAAATAAGCAGACTTGTTGCTCACAAAAAGCCTGTTTGGTGGTCTCTTCACATGGACATGCATGACAATAAGGACTCATATAAACTTAAAGTAAAGTGGTGCAAAAGATATTCCAAGCAAATTGACACCAAAGCAAGCAGGAGTGGTTATCCTTATATCAGACAAAACAAAGGTTAAAGCAACAGCAGTTAAAAATATGCAAAGAGGGACATTATATAATGATAAAAAGACTTTTCTATTAGGAAAATATTACAGTCTTAAATATATATGCATCTAAAACTAGAGCTTCTAAATATATAAAACAACTATGACAGGACCTAAGAAATGAGATAGACAGCAACACAATAGTAGTGGGAGACTTCAATACTCTACTGACAGCAATAGACAGGTCATCAAGACAGAAAGTCAACAAAGATACAATAGACTTAAACTCTGCCCTAGAACAAATGAACTTAAAAATATTTACAGAACTTTCTACCCAATAGCTGAAGAATATTCATTCTATTCATCATCATATGGTCCAAGATAGGCCACATAATCGGCCACAAAACAGATTTTAACAAATTTAAGAAAATTGAAATTACAGTGGCTCATGCCTGTAATCCCAGCACTTCAGGAGGCCAAGATGGGTGGATCACAAGGTCAGGATCAAAACCAGCATGACAAACATAGGGAAACTCCATCTTTACTAAAAATACCAAATTAGCCAGGTGTGGTGGTACATGCCTGTAGACCCAGCTACTCAGGAGGCTCAGCCAGGAGAATCGCTTAAATCTGGGAGGTGGATGTTGCAGTCAGTCAAGTTCACGCCACTGTACTCCAGCCTGGGTGACAGAGTGAGACTCCATCTCAAAAAAAAAAAAAAATTAAAATTACATCAAGTACTCTCTCAGGCCACAGTGGAATAAAGTTGAAAATCAACTTCAGAACGAACCCTCAAAACCATCCAAATACATATAAATTCACCTGTGCCTGAATGATTGTTGAGTCTACAATGAAATCAAGATGGAAGTTGAAAATTTCTTTGAACTGAATGATAATAGTGATATTACCTATCAAAACCTCTAGGATACGGAAAGGCAGTGTTAAGAGGAAAGGTCATAACCTTAAATGCCTACATCAGAAAGTCTGAAAGAGCACAAATAAACTATCTAAGGTCACACCTCATGGAACCAGAGAAACAAAAACAAACCACACCCAAACCAAGTAGAAAAAAATAAATAAAAAAAGATCAGGGCAGAACTAAATAAAATTGAAACAAACAAACAAAAAAAATACAAAACATGAATGAAACAAAAAGCTGGTTCTTTGAAAAGACAAAGAAAATTGATAGACCATTAGTGATATTAACCAGGAAAAGAGAAAAAAAGATGCAAATAAACTCAATTAGAAATGAATCGGGGGATACTAAAACTGATACCACATAAATACCAAAGATCATTCAAGGATACTATGAACACTTCTATGCACATAAACTAGAAAACCTAGAGGAGATGGATAAATTCCTGGAATTATACAACCTTCCTAGATTAAACCAGGAAGAAATAGAAACTCTGAATAGATCAATAACAAGCAGGAAGTTTCAAATGGTAATAAAAATTTTGCCAACCAATAAACGTCCAGGACCAGATGGATTCACAGCTGAATTTTATCAGACATTCAAAGAACTGGTTGCAGTCGTATTGACACTATTCTACAAGATAGTGAAAGAGGGAATCCTCCCTAAATCATTCTATAAAGCTGGTATTGCCCTAACACCAAAACCAGGAAAAGACAAAACAAAAAAAGAAAACTACGGGCCAATATCCTTGATGAATATTAATGCAGAAATTTTCAACAAAATACTAGCTAACCGAATCCAACAGCGTATCAGAAACATAATCCACCATGATCAAGTGGGTTTCAAACCAGGGATGCAGGGATGGTTAAACATATGCAAATCAATAAATGTTATACACCACATAAACAGAATTAAAGACAAAAATCACATGATCATCTCAATAGATGGAGAAAAAAGCATTTGACAAAATCCAGCATCCCTTTATGATTAAAAACCTCAGCAAAATCAGCATAGAAGAGGCATACCTTAAGATACTAAGAGTCATTTATAAACCCACAGCCAACATTACACAGAGTGGGGAAAAGTTGAAAGTATTCCCCTGAGACCCGGAACAAGACAAGGATGCCCACTTTTACCCCTTCTATTCAAAATTTACTGGAAGTTCTAGCCAGAACAATCAAACAAGAGAAAGAAATAAAGGACATTCAAATTAGTAAAGAGGAAGTGAAACTGTTACTATTTGCTGATGACTTGATTGTATACATAGAAAATCTTAAAAACTCATCCAAAAAGTTCCTAGAACTAGTAAATGAATTCAGCAAAGTTTCAAGATACAAAATTTATGTACAAAAATCAGTGTCCCTGCTATACACCAACAGCAACCAAGCTGAGAATCAAATCAAGAACTCAATCCCTTTCACGATAACTGGAAAAAAAAAATCTTAGGAACATACTTAACCAAGGAGGTGCAAGGAGGTGAAACACCTCTACAAGGAAAACTACAAAATACTGCTGAAAGAAATAACAGATGACACAAACTAGTGGAAACATCCCATCCTCATAGATGGGTAGAATCAATATTGTCAAAATTACCACACTGCCAAAAGCAATCTACAGATTCAATGCAATTTCCATCAAAATACCACTATCATTCTTCATAGAACTAGGAAAAAAAAATCCTAAAATACATATGGAACCAACAAATAACCCACATAGCCAAAGCAGGGCTAAGCAAAAAGAACAAATCTGGAGGCATCACATTACCTGACTTCAAACTATACTATGAGTCTATAGTCACCAAAACAACATGGCACTGGTATAAAAATAGGCACAGAGTCTAATGGAACAGAACAGAGAACCCAGAAATAAAGCCAACTATTCATGGTCAACTGATCTTCAACAAAGCAAACCAAAACGTAAAATGGGGAAAGGACAATTCAACAAACTGTGCTGGAATAACTGGCATGCCCCATGTAGAAGAATGGAACTGGATCCTCATCTCTCAAGTTATTCAAAAATCAACTCAAGATGGATAAAAGACTTAAATCTAAGACCTGAAGCCATAAAAATTCTAGAAGATACCATTGGAAAAACCCTCTAGACATTGGCTTAGGCAAATACTTCATGACCCAAAACAAATGCAACAAAAACAATGATAAATAGATGGGACTTAAACTAAAAAGCTTCTGAACAGCAAAAGAAACAATCAATAAACAGACATGCCACAGAGTGGGAGAAAATCTTAGCAATCTATACATCTGACAAAAAACTAATATCCAGAATCTACAAAGAACTGAAACAAATCAGCAAGAAAAAAATGAACAATCTCATCAAAAAGTGAGCTAACGACATGAATAGACAATTCTCAAAAAAAAAAAAAGATATACAAATGTCCAAGAAACATATGAAAAAGTACTCAATATCACTAATTATCAGAGAAATGAAAAACAAAACCACAATGAGATACCACCTTACTCCTGCGAGAATGGCCATAATTAAAAAATCAAAAAATAATAGATGTTGGCATGGATGTGGCAAAAAGGGAACACTTTTACACTGCTAGTGGGAATGTAAACTAGTACAACCACTATGGAAAACAATGTGGAGATTCCTTAAAGAACTAAAAGTAGATCCACCATTTGATTGAGCAATCCCACTACGGGGTATCTACCCAGAGGAAAAGAAGTTATTATACGAAAGAGATTCCCACATGATTATAGCAGCACAATTCGCAATTGCAAACATATGGAACCAGACCAAATGCCCATCAATCAATGAGTGGAAAAACAAAATGTGGTGTATATATGCCATGGAATACTACTCAGCCATGAAAATGAATGAAATAATGGCATTTGCAGCAACCTGAATGAAATTGGAATTGGGGTGAAGTAATTCAGGAGTGAAAAACCAAACATTGTATGTCGTCACTCATAACTGGGAGCTAAGCTATGAGGACACAAAGACATAAGAATAATACAATGGACTTTGGGGACTCAGGGAAAAGGGTAGGAGGGGGATAAGAGATAAAAGGCCATACATTGGGCACAGTGTACACTCCTCAGGTGATAAGTGCACCAATATCTCAGAAATCACCACTAAAGAACTTATTCATGTAACCAAATACCACTGTTCCCCAAAAACCTATTGAAATAAATAAATATATTAATATATGTATGTATTTATATATTTTTATATGTATTTATATATGTATTTACTTATATATATGTGTAAGGAGGCAGCTTTAGGCTAAGCTTGATTTAATGAGAGTTATAATTTCGGAGAACAAAAAATAAATGATAATTTTTCAATGTCATTAATTGCTGATTTCTTAACATCAGTAGCATACTTTCTTCTTATGCTCTATACTCTACAAAAGATTGAAAAGATAAATACAATTTTCTAATTCAAGCTTTTCTATCTCCAAAATGACTAAAATTTCCTAAATTTGCTCTATATCCACCGTTTCTCCTTCATTTCACATTAATTCACATAGTAGACTTTCAAAAAATACTTCAGAAAGGAATACTTCAATTTGAAACACCAAATTGAATCTGCCTTAATAACACAGCTTCTTAACTGGGTTTTCTGTTTTCTGTCTAGGCCAATTCCAGCGAGCCTCCTGTACTAAAGAAGAGCTCACTTTTATAAATACAAACTTAATAATATCACTTTTTTGCTTCCTATATTTAAGAATAAAGTCTCAAATCAAATTAAAGTATGTCCTAAATTCTCACTATCTTATAAATTTGGCATATGATATCACCTCTGGTGGTAACAACTATTAGTTCTTAAAGATGAACTTATTAATTAAACTCAATCCACTTAATAGACTGATAATTTACTAAAAATAAGATTACTTACCTATATACTTTCATTAGAATTGAAATAAGTAATGAAGAGTTTTTTTAAAAGCTGGGTGAATCATCCAACTCTATAGGCTAGAATATTCTTTCTTCAGCTTTCAGCAACAACAATAGAATATCAGATTCTTGTGTTTGTTTTACATCTTTTTCCAGATAAACATTTTTTCCTCTAAATTAATTAATAAGATAATCACTGACATATTTTTACTCTTAAATTTTCATGACATCATTTTTTCACAATTAAAATATGCTTATGACTAATTTAAAGGAAGTCAGCCAAACAATGTTTTTTAATTCCTAAAATATTTTCTAAACACATAGTTGATTGAGTCATACCATACTGATCTGTACTTGAAATGTACTTTTATAAATTAAACACTTGCATTCGACAGTACTTTTACTCAATATTTGCTTGTTAATAAGGTGGGATACAACATTACAATATTTTTGACAAATTGTGCAATGTTGGATCAACCTACCAGGTGAGATTAGAGACATAATGGGTAGTAAATGAGAATGAAAATAGAGAAGATTGTTCTGTGGCAAGAGTTGAGCTGACTAGAAAAGCCTTACAGAGGTCAAAAAAGTAAGACTATAATTAGAGTACAATAGCCTGTGGATCAGAGAAGAAAAATTAAGACTAAATTGCTAATTGGGAGAAAAGCTAAAGACAGAGAGAACCCATTAGTTGATTTAAACTTCCCAGGGGAAGTTAAATTCACTGTGTGATAACATTAACATGACCAAGATGGTGGTCATAATGTTTCCTTCAACTTGACTAAATTTTTAAGATGTATGTAAATTATTTTAAAAGCCTCTTGCCAGTTTCACAGCCCACTAATATCTTTCCAAGAGCTTGGGAACCATCTCTTTGAAATGTAATACATCAAAGATGATGTATCTGTAGAAGGGTAGCAGCCTAACATTAATGGGTGCCAATTAGCAAACACAGATGGCCTATTCACAGACAAAATCATTTGAAAACTCAGGAATAACTCAAATATCTTCAACACATCTCATTGAAAATTCTCCCCACTAACCCTTCTGTACTTTTTCTCTAGCTCGCTTCAACACTTAAAAACTGTTCTACTCTTTTCTTTAGCAGAATTAAGTTCAGACTGAGTCCATGTCTCCTTTCCTATTACCATTCCCTTGAATAAAGTCTTCCTTGCTTATTGAACATTGTCCAGTGCAATTTTGCTTTGACAAAAGAAAGTTGGAAAAGGATTGCTGCTTTTTGTGAAAATGATCATGGTTGTTGGCAGAGAGGAAAATGTCCATTTTACAGACTAAATACCAGTGTGCAGGACACAGCATTACGAGTGCCAGAGAAGGCCTGTAACAAAGACCTCAGGAATGAAGTTTGGAATGAAAACAGTATGATGTAGTGGGAAAATTCTCAGTCACATGGGCCGGAGAGAAAATGGTAGTTCTCTAAACACCTTGAGGATCTTATTCTCTTCCTATTTTTGAGCAAAGAGGTGATTTTGATAGAAAGTATAATTTTAGCAAAGTAAAACAGGAGCTGAGATACAAAGATATAAGAGCTTATAATTATCTTGTGCCCTGAATTCCCCTGCAGGCAGGTGTGGACTAGATAATTGTCTTTAACATAATAGAGATGGCCAATAAACTAACTGATGCCTATTAACAGTGCATATATTAATAACAATTTGTATTTTAAATTTACTTTTAGAGTACATCTTTATGCTGTCTGAAGATTAAAATATATACATGGCTTTGAATAAATTACTTGAGCTCCCAATATCTCTGATGTAAAATCCAGCGGTTTAATTAAATCATAGAAATAAAGTGGATGTATGTTTATCATATGAATTCCCTATTTTGTAAAAATTAATGTTATGTCATGGCAGTGTTTTCGATTTGATAATTGGCAAATTTTAATATTATTCATTTGCAGACAAATGCCCATTTATAGACGTTTACATTTTTAGTCCTTCACAACTGAATTATTCCAGAAAATTATTGATTACGTTTGTAGAACAATTTTTTGAGAAATTCTCAAGGTTTAAATTAAATTTTCCCCATTTCAAAAAACAAAAATAACAGCTCTTTAAACACGAAAACACACATACCCACACATCCACATACACCCCACAGACAATGTACAAGGAAGATTGAGGTCATTGTTTTGAGGAATACCTAGAAGCCTACTCTCCACTCAGATTATCTGACAAACTATTGTACGTTTACATGACCATATATCCTTGTTTGCCCAAAATGGTCCTAGTTTATGCCAGTTGGCCTGACATAATTATTAACATTGCAAAATTTTATTTTCAAAAGTATTTCAGTTTTGACAACAAATCGTATGGTCACTTTAAACATAAAAAGCAGTTTGTGTTTCCAATTTTCATGCACTGTAAACAAGAAAGTATAAGAAAAATCTTAATTAACACAACTGATACTGCAAATTGCATATGAAACTACTGACTTTTTTTTTTTTTTTTGAGACGGAGCCTTTTTCTGTTGCCAGGCTGGAGTGTAGTGGTGCAATCTCAGCTCACTGCAACCTCCGTCTCCCGGATTCAAGCGATTCCCCTGCCTCAGCCTCCCAAGTAGCTAGGATTACATGCACGTGCCACCATGCCCAGCTAATTTTTTGTATTTCAGTAGAGGCAGGGTTTCACCATGTTGGCCAAGATGGTCCCGAACTCCTGACCTCGTGATCTGCCCAACTCGGCCTCCCAAAGTGCTGGGATTACAGGCGTGAGCCACAACCCCCAGCCAAAACTGACCTTTTATAAAACCGTAATATTTTACATAATTATCTAACTTACCATTGGAAGCATAGGGATCATTCTCCTTCCTCATTTCATTCTAAAGCCTGCTTCTTAAGCAATTTGGCTAAGTTTACCAACATTCTTCCCATGGCCAATCTTCATTTGAGGGGTCTACTTTCATTCCTTTCTCGAGTCATGTTTATCTTTTCTAAGCACAGAGGTCCTTCACTCAACTCTAAATCAACCTCCAAAGTGGACAGAGACACTTTACAACACTTTTCCAGGAAAGTCCTTATAGTCGTTTCTTGTATATTCTACTCCAGACTGCTTCTAATCAACGCCTTCCTGGAGCTCTCAGTTCAAAACTGGGCCAAAATCCCCCATGGAAACACATCTAGTGAAATGTCCACATTTACAGGGGTCCCTAGAGTTAGCCAGTTAGTGCTTCTGTAACTGTGTCACCCTCCTCATAAATATTAGCACCCCAGTTTTTGTTTCATTAAACACTAGAGAAAATATAAATATCAGTGTACAAGTTTTAAAATAAAAGTTTGAAAAATTTTCAAAATAATGATTAAAGCAAATAAAGGGACAATAATTTCTAAAGTAATTTTATTATAATACTAACATAGTAAAATTACAGATGAAAGAAGAGAAGTAATGCTAATTTCTATGCAGTTCTCTCCATGTTTGGAAAACAATATTTCTCGGTACAAAGAAAAACAATTTAAGATTGGGACTATCTATCCATGTTGACAATTAGACATAGAAGGATTTATTAATTCCAAAAATATGTGTTTGTTTCTCTCCTAAATAGGTTTTGAGTGGGCTGTTCTTAGCATTAGGGAAATCATCCCAATAGATGAGCCATATGTATGCACTTAGACTCAGAAAAAATCAAAATCATCCTGAACAATCCATTATTTCTTAGAAATACTTATCTCAGCCCAAAATCTCCTTAAGTTGATAAGCAACTTCAGCAAAGTCTCAGGATACAAAATCAATGTGCAAAAATCACAAGCATTCCTATACACAAATAACAGACAAACAGAGAGCCAAATCATGAGTGAACTCCCATTCACAATTGCTTCAAAGAGAATAAAATACCTAGGAATCCAACTTACAAGGGATGTGAAGGACCTCTTCAAAGAGAACTACAAACCACTGCTCAATGAAAAAAGAGGACACAAACAAATGGAACAACATTGCATGTTCATGGATAGGAAGAATCGATAATGTGAAAATGGCCATACTGCCCAATGTAATTTATAGATTCAATGCCATCCCCATCAAGCTACCAATGACTTTCTTCACAGAATTGGAAAAAACTACTTTAAAGCTCATATAGACTGAAAAAAGAGCCCACATTGCCAAGACAATCCTAAGCCAAAAGAACAAAGCTGGAGGCATCACGCTACCTGCCTTCAAACTATACAAGGCTATAGTAACCAAAATAGCATGATACTGGTACCAAAACAGACATATAGACCAATGGAACAGAACAGAGCCCTCAGAAATAATACCATACATCTACAACCATCTGATCTTTGACAAACCTGACAAAAACAGGAAATGGGGAAAGGATTCCCTATTTAATAAATGGTGCTAGGAAAACTGGCTAACCATATGTAGAAAGCTGAAACTGGATCCCTTCCTTACACCTTATACAAAATTTAATTCAAGATGGATAAAATACTTAAATGTTAGACCTAAAACCATAAAAACCCTAGAAGAAAACCTAGGCAATACCATTCAGGACCTAGGCATGGGCAAGGACTTCGTGACTAAAACACCAAAAGCAATAGCAACAAAAGCCAAAATTGACAAATGGGACCTAATTAAACTAAAGAGCTTCTACACAGCAAATGAAACTACTGTCAGAGTGAACAGGCAACCTACAGAACGGGAGAAAATTTTTACAATCTACCCGTCTGACAAAGGGCTAATATCCAGAATCTACATAGAACTTAAACAAATTTACAAGAAGAAAACAACCCCATCAAAAAGTGGGTGAAGGATATGAACAGACACTTCTCAAAAGAAGACATTTATGCAGCCAACAGACACATGAAAAACTGCTCATCATCACTGGCCATCAGAGACATGCAAATCAAAACCACAATGACATACCATCTCACACCAGTTAGAATGGCAATCATTAAAAAGTCAGGAAACAATAGGTGCTGGAGAGGATGTGGAGAAATAGGAACACTTTTGTACTGTTGGTGGCACTGTAAACTAGTTCAACCATTGTGGAAGACAGTGTGGTGATTCCTCAATGATCTAGAACTAGAAATACCATTTGACCCAGCCATCCCATTACTGGATATATACCCAAAGGATTATAAATCATGCTGCTATAAAGACACATGCACACATACGTTTATTGCGACACTATTCACAATAGCAAAGACTTGGAACCAACCCAAATGTCCACCAATGATAGACTGCATAAAGAAAATGTGGCACATATACACCCTGAAATACTATGCAGCCATAAAAAAGGATGAGTTCATGTCCTTTGTAGGGACATGGATGAAGCTGGAAATCATCATTCTGAGCAAACTATCACAAGGACAGAGAACCAAACACCACATGTTCTCACTCATAAGTGGGAATTGAACAATGAGAACACTAGGACACAGGGTGGGGAACATCACACATTGGGGCCTGTTGTGGGGTACGGGGAGGGGGAGGGATAGCATTAGGAGATATACTTAATGTAAATGACAAGTTAATGGGTGCAGCACACCAACATGGCACATGTATACATATGTAACAAACCTGCACGTTGTGCACAAGTACCCTACAACTTAAAGTATAATAATCATAAAAAAAGATAAGAAATACTTGAAAAAATATGTTAAAATATAGGTAAGGGACAATATGAGGAAAATCATATAGAATCATAGAACTGAACCTGAATATGTCACTATTCATGTATGAATTGCTTAAGCTTTCCTAAACAAAGGTATTTCAAATATTTTCAATGACAAAAATTTATACATATATAAATACAAATATACATTTAATATATATATAATATACATACAAATATATTTTAAAAAGGAAATTAGGGCTTATTATACAGCGTTCTTCCCTTGTTTCTTTTCTTCTCAGCATTATCACTAGGAGATTCTTTCATCTCAGTCTTGATGCTTCAGAATCACCCTTCTCTAAAGACAGGATTTCCCCATGTTATCAGTGCACTTTTTTTCTCAACACTCTTCTAAGGTGACTCCCAATTTCACTTTATTTGAATACTACATTTAATGCTGTAGTTCACAAATTTGTATTTCCAGGTCATGCGTCCTCTGACACGTATCTCCCACGTATATATATGATATATAACTTACCAGCTCATATCTCCATTTGGATATGTCCCAGATATTTCAAACTGGACATAATTAAAATAAAGTTATCTTTGTTTTTCAGAAAATGTGCTGTTTTCCAAACTCCAATCTTCCCCATTTTTCTAAGAGATTTAGTATCCATTCTTTTGCTCAAAAAATGAATTTAGTGCAGCCTCAATCTTTCTCTCTCTCTCACTCACCAGCTTCAAATTCATGACCATATCCTATCAGTTCTTCTTTCGAAATAAGTAAAATCTATTTCCACTTTAGTTCCAGTCATAATCCAGTTGACCTGACTTTGTGAGCTTACTAAATGTTTCCTCCACATTCCTTCGCTGGTGTTGTCTTTCACCAGAAATAAATTCCTAACTTTACTATATTCTAGAGTGCATTGCATTATATCTCTTTCCTACTTTTCCTACAGTCCTTCCTATTTGCTAACCATGTCCAATAATACTAATATTTATATTTATGTTCTAAATATGTCAGGGTATTTCATGTAGCAGGACATTTGCAACCGGTAATGTTCTTTCTGTCTTCCTTCTGTTAGGTTCCCTTTTCTTTAACTAATATTTAATAGTTTGAAGATGACCTTTCCAGAAAAGGTTTCCCTGAATGCCCTATTTAAATGTAGACTCCCCTCTTCATTCTAACCTAGTACCTAACTTATTGTCCTCAAAAATTTTGATACAAATCCCAATTATTTTATTTTTCTCTTTTT
The DNA here is from genome assembly GCF_000001405.40 of Homo sapiens. Taxonomy (NCBI): domain Eukaryota; kingdom Metazoa; phylum Chordata; class Mammalia; order Primates; family Hominidae; genus Homo; species Homo sapiens. Next base: position 69,437,944 of record NC_000013.11, read on the forward strand.
CATCTGTCTCCTCTGTAATACTGTAAGTTCTGTGAAGTCATATACTATGCATATGTGAATTATTTTACAAGTTGTATTTTCCACAAAAATTCACCTCTGTGGAAAGATTATATTTTTTCCTTATTTTGTTGATCTGTAGTATTTTAAATTTTTTACAGTGAATATATTACTTATTTTAAAGGAAAATAATGTTAACAATTTAGAGCTATCTAGAAAATACATAGTGATTATACATACTATCATTATTAAGCTGATTATTCACATACATTGAACTGGTAATATGTTCTAGCCTTAAGAGTTTCATTGTTATGGAGAATGGTCTGAGAGAAAACAAACAAAGAAGTAAAAAACTGTTTCAAAAGGTATTTCAGAATACCGCTGTATTACCGCTGTATTCAGAAACAGCTGTATTAGTATAACTCAGGGTCCTTTGGAACATTTTGTTTCCTGGCCATTAAATGGCTTTCTACTAGAGAAAAGAAATAACATAGGTCTAACACAAGTGAATGCTTTGAGTGACTAGACACAAGCATTACTGAATATGTGGTTTATATTTTATAGTTTACTTAAAAATTAAGATGAAACAAGCTCTTCCTTTAATATGATCATTTGAACCGTAATGCATAAATATAACCAGAAACCAATTTTATTATTTGTACCAATATATAAAATTTTCACCATTTTAAACACTAGCAGTTAACCTTACATTTCATATTATAGAGCTATGTTGTTTGCACAAAATCTATAAATAATCATAATTTATAATCTTACTCTTAAAAACAGGAGCCACCTGTTCGAAGTGCAGTGACACTGAGTCAAACAACCATTTTCATACTATAGTCTAAAATAGCATATACCATTATAATCATCTGACTATACACACTAAGAAGAAAATAAAATTCAATAGCATAAATTAAACAAAAAATATCACATCTGTGAAGTTAGGGTTTGAGTGTCATTATGGAGAAAAACTTAAAAGAGAGCACTCTTACTATATCAAGCTGCTGTTACCAATTTTATCTGCAAATCATACTTGAAAATGTTACATATGTTCAGCTATTATGCAGCACAATACATTTAGATTGGATATTCATTATCAAAGAGATTTACTGTATCTTTTTGAAGTTACTGAAATTAAACCAAAATTGTTCTTATCCTTGTCTCAGATTATAAATTGTCAACTGTGGCAAAGAGATAATATTAATATGTGTAAAACAAAGCAATGATTTTAAAAAATATGTTCTAGCTGTGGTCTTTTAGTAATATTAATATTTAATATCATTAATTACGCTGAATCTTCTTTTTAGTATGTGATAAATTTTAAAATAAAATTATTGAAACATTGCTTAAAAATTAAGATGACTTGAGATGATTTCTAGCAATGCTGTATGAGGGTTAATGTGATATTTAGTAGCAAATATGATATTCAAAAGCATGGAATTTTAAATGAAAAAAATTTAGTACAACAACTTTTCAACAATCTCCCAATGTCCAACGCGTGGATATATTCATGTTTAGTTATTGTATTATCACTACCAAACATTTTTTGAGATATTTCATTGCCATACATGTTTCAATTCAGGCAAAACTCAAGTCTGCATTCTTTCCTTTTAAATGTATTCCTATTTAACCCTATTCACAATATTTTATAACTTAATTTTTATATACTATATAAGTCCATAAACCAAAATGAATTTGAAGTATATTTAAAAATTACTACTTAGCTTTTTTACATCTGAAGTGCTTTCTTTCTAAAATTTCCTAAATTTTACTGCTTTAAATTTTAGGGTATATGTGATGTTCTGCTCCAAATTCTCTATTTGAAAGTTCTATTGGCCAGAATGTCAAACAGGGTGGTGCATAAGTTGTGCTCATCTAATAATTTTGGGGAGAGATGCTCTTAGGAAAGTACATAATAAACACCTTGTGAAAAATAAATGTTCAAGAAAAGAAACACAACAATCCACATGTCATCCAAACATGATCCCCACACCTCTCTTTACATCTACATCATAACAATTTAAATTACTTATTCTTGTTTTGCAGTCATTCTTTTCACTCTTCCCAACATCTGGAATTTTAGTTTTGACTGTGACTTTTTATTGATGCCCAAAGGGCTTTTTCAAAATTTATAATTATTTCAATATTTATTCTAAGTGACTAATTACAATATACTGTGTGGAATTTTTGAAATAAAGATACCTGTGACATGGTGACTCTCATCAAAATGAGATTGGCACCCTGATAGCATGTGAATAACTCTGAGATTTCCACAAATAAAAATAGTCAAGGTAATGGCGTGAACTCTTCATACATCATCAACCACTGAGGTCTCATGCCATTCAGAAATTGATAGATTTGATAACTTTATTACACAATTTAGAGAACTAAAAGGATATCTTTATTGCATACATATACCTATCGACTAAATTCATATATAAATCAATCCTCTCAAGGAATGTGCAATGAATATATACATATCAAAGGGAGTGGCTGAATGGCTTCAGGTGGAGTGTGGAAATAATAAGCTACTGTATTTGAGTATTTGGTTTTAGCTTGTTTATTTTTTATTTTTAATGCCATTTATTCTTAGAATGAAAATCATTTTATTGTTTTTTTTTTGAAGGAGTTCCTAAAGAGAAATTACAGAGAAAATTAAAGATTTGTATTCAATAGAGAAGCTAAGCTTCTAAATGTGTATACTTCTAGTTTAAGTTAGATTTTATTCAATATTTTTTATTTTTAAAATTTTAAATTAATTTCCTTATATCATATTTGCGGCCATTTTAATTATTGTTTTATTTTGTTGTTTTGCTTCTGTTTAACTGGTTTTGTTTCTACTTGTAATAAACTCATTAAAGTGCACCTAATTTAAACATTTAAACATTTTAGTTATGCTGTTTTAATTACTTAACACAAAGATTCATTTCTACTTGTCTAGTGAAGCATCTCTCAAAGGCATTTTAGTGAAACTTATTTGAAAGTGTGTGTTTGAATAAAGAGTGTCTCAAGGATCAAATAGTTTCTCTATTTTAGCACTTCTCGGAGTCTTTCACAAATATTAAATATATCATGAATCTCAAAGGGATGAATATAGCATATAGTATAACCCATAATTATTTGACCTTCCTACACATCTTCACTAGAATATCTTGTTAGATTTTAAGATACACTAGGAAATGTACGTGAAGAAGTCTGAAATGTCATCATTTATGTTACAATTTAAATTGAGAAAGTATGGAATAGTGTTTGTAAAGGAGAAAACTTAAACTTTTTTTCATTAGCTTAATTTTGCAGCTACTCTTTAAAATACAGTCAATAAAGACCACTGCTCCTTATTGAAAGAACAATTTGCTTATAAAATACAGCTTTGCTAAATAGGAGTTTACTACAAAAATACTAATTTTACTTATGAGAAAAATTTTTGAATCCATAAAACCTGTTTACTTCTTACATGTCATTTACTTTGCATGAAGACAATGGTAACAGTGGGAATAAGAATAGCTAGTGTTTTTGAGAGCTTATTAGATACCAGACACTGCATCAGCAATTATATTAATATTATATTCTTTAATCCTTAAACAGGTTCTGACATCTTGAGATTCAAATGTGAGGAAATGAGCTTAATGACACCCAAGGCCATAATGCTAGTGCTAGTGATAATTGTAATGAGCCCAGCTATGGTTGTTGCTAACAATGAGGCTTTAAGTGAAACAGTTCTGTGACCTTAACTGATGTGATTCAAATTTTGATTATAGGATTACCTGAGGTAATCAATAGTTGTTGATAAATTTCTATAAATGTATTGTTATAGATGAATAGAGAAAGATAAGTATAAAATTTCCTTGAAAGACTAATCACCACCATTATCAATTTTTTATATATTTACTAATTTTATTAGCATAAAATTTACCATACCTGCCATTTTAAGTGTACAATATAGAAGGGTTATTATAGGCACAGCATTATGCAATAGAGCTTTACAAGTTTTTCATCCCGTAGCACTGAAACTCTATATCCACTGAACAAACCTTCTTTCCTCCCGCCCCCAGCCCTTTGCAACAACAATTATACTTTCTGTTTCTAAGAGTTTGACTATTTTAGATACCTCTATAAGTGGATTCATGCAATATTTGCCTTTTTGTGACTGGTTTATTTTGCTTAGTATAATAGCCTTAAGGTTGCAGCATATGACTTTTTTTTCCTTTTTAAGGCTGAATAATATTTTGCTATATAAATTTACATTCTCTTTATTCATTCATCTTTAAATGAACATTTAGATACAGTCCATCTCTTAGTTATTGTGAATAATGCTGCCGTGAACATGGGAGTGCAGCTGTATCTTTAAGATTCTGTTTTCAAAACATTTGAATACATATTCATAAGAGGGATTGCTAAATTTTATGGTAATTCTATTTTTATTTTTTTTAGTAACCTCCATGATATTTTCCATACCAGATGCACCATGCTACATTTCCAGTGCTGCATGAGGATGCCAGTTTTTCTACATCCTCACCAACACTGGTAATTTTCTAGCTTTTTTTTTTTATAATGACCATTCTAATGGGTGTGATTTGATATGTCATTTAGGTTTTGATATGCATTTCCCTGATAATTAGTGATTGATACAGTTTGAATATTTGCTACTCCAAAGCTCATGTTGAAATGTGATCTCCAGTGTTGGAGGAGTGGCCTAGTAAGAGGTCTTTGGGTCATTAGGGCAGAACTTTCATGAATGGCTTGGTGCTCCCTCCCAAACTAATATACGAGTTTTCACTCTATTAGCTCATGGGAGATCTGATTGTTAAAAAGAGTCTGGCACCTCTTCTTCTATCTCTTGCTTCCTCTTGCCACATAACACACCTACTCCCTCTTCACCTTCTGCCATGAGTAAAAGCTTCCTGAGGCCTTACTAGAAGCAGATGCTGGTGCCACTTTCTGGTACAACATACAGAACTGTGAGCCAAATAAACCTCTTTTATTTATAAATTACCCAGCCTCCAGTATTCCATTATAGCAATGCAAAACAGACTAATACAGTGAGGTTGAGCATCTTTTTGCATGTTATTTACCCATTCATATATTCTTTGGATAAATGTTTATTAAAATCCTCCTTTGATTTTTAAATTGGATTGTATATATATTTTTGTTCTTGAATTGTGGAAGTTATTTATACATTCTTGGCATTAATCTCTTTCAGATATATGGCTTGCAAATATGTTCTCCCACTCCATAGGTTGTGTTTTCACTCTGTTAATTGTTTTCTTTCTGAGTAGAAATTTTTAGTTCAATGTAGTCCCACTTGTCTATTTTACAGTACCATTTCATGTATTTTGTTGCCTGTGCTTTTCGTGTCCTATCTAGGAAATTATTACCTAATTCACTCTGTCATAAAGTTTTGCCTCCATTTCTTCAAGGAGTTTTACAGTTTCAGGTTATACATTTAGCTCTTAAATCCATTTGGTTACTATTCTATATGGTGTAAAATAGGGCTCCAACATCCTTCTTTGCACATGGATATCCAGTTTTCTCAACCCCATTTGTTGACGAGACTCTCCTTTTCCCATTGTGAAGTCTTGGCACCCTTCTGGCAGATCTTTTGACCATGTACATGAGGATTTATTTCTGGGCTCTCTATTTCATTCCATTGGTCTCCGAATCTTTTTTTATGCAAATATCACTGTTTTGACATCTGTAGATACATAACACATTTTAAAATCAGGATGTATGTGGCCTCCGGCTCTGCTTTTCTTTCTAAAGATTGTTTTTGCAATTTGGTGTCCTTTGAGATTCCGATAAATTTTAGGATTTTTTTTTGTCTATTCTTGCAAAAAATGCCACTGGGATTTTGATTAAATCTGTAGATCACTTTGGATAGCATAGACATTTTAGCAATATTAAATTTTCCAGTCTATGAACATGAGATAATTTTCCATTTGCTTATGTCTTCTCTTAGTTTCTTTCAGGAGTGTCTTGTAGCTTTTTTGCGTGTAAAAGTTTTTCATTTTCTCCGTTAATTCTATTTCCGATTTTTTGTTTTGTTTTTGATGCTATTATAAATCAGATTGTTTACTTTTAGTTATGAATTGTTCATTATTATTGTATAGACATGCAACTGATTTTTTGTGCATTGATTGTGTATCCTGTATCTTAGCTGAATTCATTTATTAGTTCTGTTTTTTTGTGGAAGTTTTAGAGTTTTGTACATACACAATCACATCATCTGAGAAGAGAGGTAAACTTACTTCTTCCTTTCCTATTTGGATGTCTTCTATTTGTTTATTTTTTTGTTGCCTGATTTTTCTGGCTGAGACTTTCATTACTATATTGAGTAGAAGTGGTGAGAGTGGGCATCATATCTTTCTTCCTGTTCTCGTAGGGAACGCTTCAATTTTTCACTATTATGTGGTTTGATGTGGCTTGGGTTATTTATTATGTTCTTTATTGTGTTGAGGTAAATTTCTTTTATTTTCACCTTGTTGAATGCTTTTGGCATAAAAGGGTACTAAATTTTGTCAAATGCCTTTTCTGCATCAATTTGATCATATGTCTTTTTTTCCTTCTGTGAATGTGTCATATTACACTGATTGATTTTCATATGTTCAATCTATCAATCTCTCTTGCATTCCAGGAATAAATGACACTTGGTTGGGGTGTATAATTATTTTAATGTGTGGTTGAATTTGTTTTGCTAGTATTTTGTTGAGGATTATTGCCTTAATATTCACCAGGAATATTGGTCTGTCTTTTTCTTTTCTTATAGTGTCTTTGCCTAATTTTGGTATCAGAATAATGCTGGTCTCATAAAATGAGTCTGGAAGGGGCTAGGCACCTTCTTCTAATAGGGGCAAGCTAATAGGTTTCTGTCTTTGATATTACAAGTTCTCTGATGCTGCCAAAAGCTGGTGAGTTTTGTTTTATTCACAGCAATCTCCAGGCATCCAAAGTATGCTGATTCCCTAGCAGCAGTACAAGACAGGTGAGACAGAGAATCCAGTCCTACAGGCAGCCTCCTACAAAACCAGATCATAGGTCATTCTCCCTTTCTCTCCCACTCTCCAAGAAAGAAGCTGCACATTTAGCTTTTCTTCTTGACTAGGAGTTGTCTGGCCTGAGGGAGGAATTGACATGGATGATATGAAATGGCTTTTCTTACTCATTTTAGTGCAACAGTTCTTGGATTTGAACTTTGCCAGAACACTAAAATTTCCTAACTGGTTTCTAGTATTATCATCAAGGCTTTTTGGACTTTATATTGTTATTAAGTTGGTGATTCTGGGGCTGGGGGAGAGCAAGGTCTAGGGCTTCCTACTCCACTATCTTGCTGAAGTCACTACACTTCCTTTAACTAAAAAAGTAATTGTTCTGGCACAATGGCTCATGCCTATAATCCCAGCACTTTAGGAGGCCGGGGTGGGTGGATCACTTGAGGTCAGGAACTTGAGACCAACATGGCCAACATGATGAAACCTCGTTTCTACTAAAAATACAAAAATTAGCAGGGCATGGTGGCGGGTGCCTGTAATCTCAGCTATTCAGGAGGCTGAGGCACTAGAATCCCTTGAACCTGAGAGGCTGCAATGAGCTGAGATTGCACCACTGCACTTTAGCCTGGGTGGCAGAGTGAGACGCCACCTCAAAAGAAAATATAAAAATAAAAAGTAATTAATATAGAAGCGTTATTGTGAACTTCGCAATAAATATCCTTTTAAAGAAAAACTATAAATATCAAAAACAGACTTTAAGCCTATATATGTTCAGTTTATTGACAATCTAATTTATATTTACTCATTCATGTCTTCAAAATGTAGGCTAACCACATGAGTATTGCTGTTTTAGGCACTGGAATTGTTGATATACAAAAACATTTCTGCCTCTATCTGGCTATTGTTCCAGAGTGGGAGACAACAGATACAAATAAGTAATAACTTCTTCCTTCTTCTTTATTGGATTGCTTATTCTGGGGTGATTTAAAAGCCATTTTTGTGAGATGCAATCCTCCTATGAAAAACCTCACATGGTGAGCAATAGAGGCCTCCAGCAAAGAGCCATGTGAGTAAGCCATCTGGAAACAAATCCTCTAGCCCATCCAAAGCCTTCAGATGAATGTAGCCCCTGACAACTTAACTGAAACTACAGGTGATACTTTGAGCCACAACATCCAGCTAACTTGCTTGTATTCCTGACCTGCGCAAACTGTGAGATCATCAGTGGCTGTCCTTTTAAGCCATTAATATTAGAATAATGTATGAAGAAATAAATAAGTGATATCAATACATATATCTATAGTTATTTTCATTTTAAGAATTTCTCTTTTCTCATTCTTGGAAATTTATCTTTATGATTACTTCAAATTTCCTGTGATTTTCTAACTCGTTTTATTCAGATATTGACACTTGTATTTCCATTATCTATATCACTTACTTTCCTTCAATACTTTTAAATGATATACCGTAGTTTACTGGATCCCTTGTTTCTTTCATTTGTTATATCATTTAGCTTTTATTTTTGTTTTTGTTTAAAAAAAAAAGCTATCAACCCTATTGCTGCTTTTTGAAGCTTTTTGTTTGTTCTAATTCTGAATGTTTTAATATGTCTTTTTTGTTTGGTTTCAGTCATTTTATTCTAAAAGTGTAGATGTTTTATGTTTATGTTTACATGGCTTGATAAGAGTAATCTTTCTACCTGTGTTATCTGCCATAAGTTTTGTAAAATTCTGAGTTCTCTCTTCTTTTTGGTTTCTTTCTATTTCTCACTTGTGATTATATCAAATTTTATACAGCATTTATCTTTTCTGGGGATTCCTAAATTATTTTCTGTATAATATAGCTTTTTATCTTTCTATGCTTGTTCAGGAAATTCTCTTCTGTAATAAAGTCAATTATCATTATTCATATTAGTTATGCTTTATATAATGGTTCCATGGACTCTGAATTAACGAATACCAAATCATCGTTCCTACAGAAATACAGGGCTAAATTCCTAATAACATTTTCATCAGCCAATCAATATATGTTTGTTTTGTGTGTGTTTCTGCTTAAAGACACCTTTTTAAATATACATTGTTGATTTAGCAACACAGAAGTATGGTTACTAGAACTATAACTTAATGGCTGAATGAAGGGGAACATAAATGTCCTCCATTATCTACATCATAGCATAGCCTTTTATTTTCTTTCCTTTTTTTTTTCCTCGAGATGAGTCTGGTCCTGTTGTCCAGGCTGGAGTGCAGTGCCATGATCTCAGTTCACTGCAACCTTCACCTGTAGGGCTCAAACAATCCCACTGCCTTACCACCAGAGTAGCTGGGATTACAGGCATTCACCGCCACACCCAGCTAATTTTTGTATTTTTGGTAGAGGCAGGGTTTTACATGTTGGCCAGGCTGGTCTCAAACTCCTTGTCTCAAAATCCTCAAGTGATCCACCTACCTCTATATCCCAAAGTGCTGTGATGACAGGCCATCCTAGCCTTCTTGTGCTTAGGAACACTAGTCAGCACTTAAGCATTATGCACTGGGACCAATTCAAACAGTGAAATCAACAACAAAAATTCACAGTGCAAAAAATGCCACACTAAATACATTGAAAAAAGGATGCTTGTTTACATTATGAGAGCTGATACAAGAAGATACAGTGTTGTCTTGTTTGACCTCAGCTGGGAATGTATACATGGGCAATTCAGATTCCTCACTGCTTTTTGTGTACACATATCCATGAATGACTGTAAAAGCACCACAAGTATAGATTTTTTTGGTTACAAATACATTTTAGTAGGTAGGAAATTCACAAATACAGAATCTGTGAACAATGAAGATTAACTGTATATTCCAGTGTGATAATATATATTCAGTGTTATCTAGTTCGTTTTAAACCCATCCATCATATCTTTATTTCTTTGTGTTAGTTCTTTTATTTTTACAATTATTAGCTTTCTGCTGTGGGTATTAATATTGCATTTTAATCGTTTAGTCATATCCAGAAGAGTCATTTTTAAAAATTTTGTGACTCTCTTGTTTTTTGGTCATATGATCTTATCCTATCAAATTTTTAATATTTATTTTTATTAGCAGCATAAATTATAAAAATTTTAGAGATAATTTGAGTCTGTTTGTTACATCTGCTTTCACTAGAAAGGATTTCACTCTATTCTAGACCACTAGGTTATATGCATTAATAATACAAGATAGCTTTAATCCAATGAGGGCCTGAGAAGGGTCAAAATTAGTCTTTAGTTCCTGTGAAGGTTGGCTTATTTTTTGTGCATAGTACTGTACAACTTTGGTATCAAACCCAATCCACGGGTCTTACCAGTGACTTTCCTCCTTGGTGATCCCTGAAATAAAATGTTTTTCTCCTCAGTCCCTTATAACTACTAAAGATTTTGCTAACTTCTAATCCTTTAAGTCATGTTTTCATTAATAAGCACATGTCTTAAATGCCTCACTCACCTGTTTGGCCCATTTCTTTTCTCAGATTTTGGTCCTGCAGTTCCTTTCTACATTCTAGCTCATTGATACCTTTAGACATATTTTAATGCATTTTGTCTAACTTTTCTAATTATTTTCTATTGGAATTTGGGGATGTGACATACTGCCTGCCATTGCTGGAAATGGTTCTTGATTATATCCTTTTTTTTTTTTGGGGGGCAGGCAGTATTTTGTAAAGCCAAATTTTGGTTTTTCCATTTTAATTTATGAGAAATACCAAGTAATATGCTTAGGAGAATGTTTCTATCTCACTCTAATATTTTACAATGAGGTTAGTAAATACAGTATAATCAGCTCATAAATAATTAGTATTGGTACATTATCCTTCAGAATATAATTAAAATAAATATGCCTTTGACTTTACCTGAGTGAAAATTTTAATTTGACCTTTCAACATAGAATCCATAAAATTTTTGTTAAGATACAGGTTCACTATGAGTATAAATAACTTAAAAAGATTGATATTAAATTATTTTTGCTTATTCTGCAATCAATTTTTGCCCAAGAGATTGAGTGTAACCAAAGGTTACTTAGAACTTGGGACATTTCATGTAAATTCATCTCCAAGAATATTAAATGCTCAGCATATTTGTTTTTAGTTTCTATATGAATATATAAATTTATACCTACATTCTATATGTATTACACACATATATGATACACACGTGTACTTTTTAAGTAAAACACTTTTTTAATCTTTTGAGCTATTTTATGACAGTTTTAGAAAGTTAAAAATCTATTATTCTAACAATTCAGTGTCACTGGACTTTCTAATCTTACTGCTTAAAATGAGAATATACTTCAGCAAAATATGTAACATTTCCAAATGGTAATAAAAGGCATCTAGAATCTGAATATTGTGTGACAACTAATATTATCGGTTAATATTAATATTAGAAAGATTTAGATCTGTCTTTAAAGTATATCTCTTTAAAAAAATTTGAAAGGGAAAAATAGATATGAACTGGTAGTTTTGACCCAGAATAAAAGCTTTAGTATGTATTGTATATATTAAGTCCTTTCCAACAGTCTGAAATAAGTCCAGTGTAATCATTTTGGTAACAAAATTTCTTAGAGCTTTGGCATAAGCAACAAAAGAAAGAAAACTCGCTTTTCCTGTCGGTTGCCACATTTGAGAATTAATTAAGAACACGTGATGATTTTCAGAAAATAACCTTTTTTCTCTTTATTTGCAGAAAAATTGTAAAAAATATCAATTCCAAGAGCAAGTTATCATGCACCATGTAGAACTGATATTGAAAAGTAGCAAATAAAAAGCATTACATTAACTTCTTTTGTAATACAAAGTATAAAATGTCTAGATGGTTCACTAAAATTTAAATTGTTATTGTGAAGGATTATGAATACGTGAAAGTACAATTTAAATAGTATCTCATTTATATGGAAAAGGAAGAACACACATGCAATATATACAGCTAAAGTTCTCTTGAAACATATAACATCATTTATTTTTCTATATGTTTAAAGTAAGTTAAAACAATAAAAAGCTGAGCTAAGCTAAGGTAATATTTTATATTTTCTAGAATCTCAAACAAATTAGAACAATGAAGTTGATTGAAGGCTAAAGTTTGAATATACAAATGGATGAATTTACAATCATCAAATATTTCACATTTTTATGATTTACAGCTGTGTTTAAATAAATCTATCTAATTATACTGAAGCCTGCCATGTATTCATGGACTAATCCCATTTGCATGCTTAGAAAATGATAACAATGAGCTTCACTGAGCAATAAAGATTTAGACAAACAAATTGAGGAGTTTCAACACTAATCCTAGGTATTTTTTCTGATATTTATATGGCTCCCTGCTTCCAACAGATCATGATTTTGACCTTAAACCACAAGTAAGAAAGACAGAAAAGTCAATGCTTCACACTTCCCCACAAAGACTGGACCATCTGGACGCTTTATATTTGTAACAGGTGCTTCTGGGATTTAGAGCCTAATTCTGGCCCAGATTCTGTTCTGTATGGGTGACTCTGTTGCTATGTGCAATTGTGCATTGCATTAATTGAAGAGAATAGAAAAGGCCAAGTACAGCAATTAGTCAGTTGGTCATGCAGAAAAGAGTCTAGTGGCTTTGAGCCACAGAATGCTGAATGCACAGATGCACAGTACCATCAGTTTTGCTCTCTGTGGTATGCTCCTAGTCTGTGACAGGTAAATGCCTTTGTGACTTGATTCCAGTTTTCTGTCCCCTTTGAAAATAAACTACATTTTTTAACCACAGGAGAGAGAAAATGCTTGTTTTGGATACCCTAAAAACCAGCTACATTGACACAATATGTCTTGAATATACAACAGAACAATATAAAATAGGCATAGCTGTCAGAAAACCTAAAAATTATAAGTGAAAAGACTAATATGTACTTTACTCATGAAATATGTAGATGTGGTATTTATTGGATAAAATCATTATTTTTAATAGTGGTTTTCAAAATGGGAAGAAGTTTGAAAACTCATACATAGCCTGTGTCCAAATTTAATATTGGTTAAGCCTTTTAAAGTATACATAACAGTTTAGTTACCTAAAACCCCAGTTTCTTCATTTATAAATTAAAGTCATTGTCAAGAATCAAATGATGTAATAAATGACAAGAACAATAATCATTAACATATAATTTGGGATCAAACAAATAAAGAAACAAATAATAAAATAACTTATAGCCCTAGAATACAGACTATTTTTAACCTTTATGTTCTATACTAAGTTTTAAAAATTGAATTATCATATTTGTCATACTTTATGGTATTAACTTTATATTTTAGTGTTTTCAATATTTTATTCTATGTTTTATATACCACTTCTTAGTTCAACTTTTGATAATTTAAATATAAGTTGTTACTGTTACTTTAATAAAATCAAATAGTTTGAATATCAACTATGTCAGGAACTGTTCTAGGTACTCGGCATAAACATTGAACAAAATAGAAAATTCTTCTACCTCTGTGAAGCTTAACAATGTGGGAGTAGACACATCACATATTTGATGCTTATTTGTATATTTGTACAAATATACTATCTATAAAATATATATATATAATGATTGGAGTAAGGAAAGCAAAGTAAGTAAACTAAGGTGGAAATAATAAAGATGATACTTTAGCTAGTGAGGCCAGGAAAGAAATATTGAAGGAGGTGATATTTACGTAAAGACTTACATTACATGAGAAAACAAATATTGTAGATCAATGTGGGAAAGAGCATTGTAGACCATGGAATAAGCAGAGGGAACAGGAAGGTATACTTATCTACAAACTCATTAAGTTGTATACATTATATATGTAGAGCTTTATGTTTGTCAGGCTTTGTACTTCAATAAAAGGGTTTAAACAATGAAGAGCTAGGGTCATAAAGTGGAAAAGAATTGTTGTGGGTATGAAACACCTACTGTTATCCAAGCACTTACTAGGTATGTGACCTACTTTATCTCTGATTTGCTGATAGGCAGAATAATAGAATGATTCAATACTAAATTCTTAAAGCCAGAGAAAATTATACTCAAATCTATACATGGCCACTTATTAAATGTTTCTCATTTGTAGAATAGAGATTATAATAATAGCAATAGTATAGAACTATCAAACAGATTATACAAAATAACACAATCAACACACTTCTTGCAATAAGAGACATATAACACATTGCATAAATATCAGCAATGATCACCATCATTATCATCATCCCTTTCTATAAAGTATGAACTGTTAGTCCCATCTCTAGATGGGAAAACTACAACTCAGATTTGTTTCATGCTGGAAGTTTTATTTGCTCTATTATGCCTTCAAACATCGTTTTTTTCAGTTAATTAATTCTATGTAGTCTTTCCTGTTTTCTTAGTGGGAGGATCATTCTAATACAAACTATTCTTTAATAACCAGAAGTAGAAGTCTCCCAAAGAAAAATAATTTGATGCCTTTAAAAAGAATACATTATCCATATAAATTTTAAAACACATTGCACATTTGCACAGAGATAGAAGTATCTCTGATATTTGTACTTTATCTGCATTTCAAGTGTTAAACATGACATCATTCCTATCTCACAATGTAATGAAACTCACAAAATCTTTTCGTGGCCCACGTGGTCAATGCAAAGTGAATCGTCAAGGTCTCTGGCTCATTTATTTTAACACTGTGAATACTTAAGATTTCAAAACATAAAGTTTCTTAAGAAGAAGAGTTATTATCTTCCCTGAATAGCTTTTATTTAACCTCTATGAAGAGGATAAAACATAATAAGAATAATAATAATGAGCTTAAGTGACACAAGACTGAAAAGAAAATGTGGGTCCTCTCTTTCAGGAGTTATTTCTTCCTTATTGTCAGAATTGCAAAGATTCCTGATCAATATCATCTTCCTATTCAAACAATGACAGCTCTGAGCCTAGAGATAACCTTCATAGACAGCACTTTTTCCACACTGTAGCTCTTAATAATGCCTCCTGATGGCAGCTTTATGCAAAATTACTAAGCTTTTATTCTCTGCATGGTAGCAGCTCTGGTACTTAGCTCATAGTGGCTACTCCTTGTAGTTCTCAGAAGCTCATGGTAGAAACATCTCCCACAACGACTCATCTTCTGGATCAATTTCAAAAGGTAATGGCTTTTGGTAGCTATACTTTTTAAGGTCCTGGCCCCGGGTTAAGCCTCCTGTTGGCAAGGACTATGTCCTAGATTTTTTAAAAACTCATAATGAAAGACACAAGGAGATTTGCTGGGAGCTAAAACATTTTGTTTCACATTTTTATACAATTCCTTCAACTTTGTTTTGTGTTCAAACAGAGGAAGACACTGATAATTCGATTTCTCTGGATCAGAGCAGGGCATTTATTCTCCTCCATTTTCAGTAAAGTTGAAGTTTATCTTGTTCCATTCTTACATTGGCCCAATTCAAGAATAGGGAAAAGACCTAGAATTCACAAATATTTTAAAACATCCAAATAGAATAGAATTTAGGAAAATCAGGTCTCAGAAAAATAACAGACATCTCATAGTTGTTCAATATAGATATTCAAATAATGAAACAGTCACATGGAATTTTTTTCTACATATTTCTATATAATTACACACACACACTCACCTCCCTGCCTAGTAGGTTATTCCACACACATGCTCAGGTATTTTTAATTTGAAACAAAAAATTCATTTACTCAACATCACTCTTTTGTAACTTACCAATATCTTTTTCCTCCAATGTCAAACTCTTCAGAATAATTCTATACAACACCTGCTTCACCTTCTTAAATTTTCATTCACTTCTCAGCCAAGTGAAATTTTTATTTTTGGTGCTGTCCCATGGAAATTACACTAACATAACTAAAAAAAAAAAAAAAAAAACCCACACACAATTTTCAAAAATCTCACTTTACTTGATCATCTTTTTCTTGAACTTCTTTTTTTCCTTCTGTAAATTTCTCCCTCCCTAGTCTTGCTTTTCACTCTTTTTGTGGGGAATGGCCTTTCTGTGCTTAGCCTTTATATGTCTGTATGCACCAAATTCCTCTACTAGACCTGGGACTCTACTCACCCTGGTCTATCTTATTTACTCTGCTTCATCCATATCCTAATTTTAATAGCTACATCTTTATCTCTAAAGCTCACATTTTTCTCTGCTATTGGTCCCAGAGACATAAATAAAAACATTTGTTTCTAAGTGGTCCATTAGCACCTGAGACACAATATTTATTACTAATTCATGGCCTTGATTTTCTGTTGAAATCTGTGATTTTCCAACAATATCTTTTGATCAAATTTTGTTTAAAATTCTTGTTTAATATCTGTGTTCTCCATTAGACTTTAGGCTCCATGAGTGTAGAGATTCTTTTCAATTTATTTCTAAATACATCTCCAAATACTGGGCTGTAGTAAGCCCTCAAAAACATTACCTACTAGAATAAATATTCCTTTCTAAATTAGAAAGTTGATTTTGTCTTGCTCCAGACTGAAATATTTGATTTGTCATTAAAAACAAACATGTCCACATTTTTTAATATGGCATGGTTTGATCTTTTTTCTTTTCCAGCTTTGCTTTCTCCTTATTTTAAACCTGACCTTTATACCCTAGCCATACATTGCAATTTTTAAATACATTCTTTACTCATGCTAACCTTTGATATTAACTTACTTATGGCTTCCTTTTAACGTTCTGGCATCTAGTGCCATATTCTTTCTTTAAGTGAGTACTTAAAACATAGCCTTTTCCATAAAGCCCAACTGATCCACATCCAAGTACAACTCATGACCATTGTTACAGTGATTCCACTATACTTCAGACAGAACAGTTCATCACAGCACTGACCCTCTTCAGTTACAAGGGTATAATTCAAGGATGTAGGGAATTTGTCATTTATAACTCCAGTTCCTAGTACAAACACACACATGTAGTAGACACAATAGATGGTTGTTGAATGACTACCTTATGTTAAAGAATCTTCATTTGACACATACTACTATTACTTGATATATGTCAGCATTTGAGGAATGAGGATGAGGATTAAAGGATCTTAGCTTAAGGAGTATGTCTTCTACCTGTAGAAAAATTTCAAGTCACTCAAGTTTAGCAGAATTATCTTTGTGAATGGTTAAATTTGTAGAAAGTTCTATAATATCAATATACACATATGTATATCTCTGTATATCTAAATGTAGATCTACAGATATACAAATATAGTCATGCATCACTTAACAATGGGGATACATTCTAAGAAATGCATCCTCATTGTGGAAACATCAGAGTGTACCTACACAAACAAAGATAGTATATCCTACTATATAGCTAGGCTATATCGTACAACTTATATGACTTCTAGGCTACAAACTTGCACAGCATGTTATTATAGACAACTGTAACACTATGGTAAGCATCTATGTATCTAAATATAAAAAGGTACAGTACAAATACAGTATAAAATATTTTAAAAGGTACACCTGTATAGGGCACTTATGAATTTAGCTTGTAGGACTGGAAGTTGCTCTGGGTGAGTGAGTGAGTCAGTAGTGAGTAAATGTGAAAGCCTAGAACATTACTGTACACTAGACTTTCTAAACACTCTACACTTAGGCTACGCTAAATTTATAAAATATACAATGAAATTGTGCTATGTTCTCATGGCCACAGCATCAGTAGATGACAGAAATTTTTTAGTTCCATTATAATCCTAACAGATCACTGTTATATGGGAGGACCTCAAAAAGTTCATCAAAAAGTGGAATTACACGATAAGGATAAAAAGTATAAACTGTATTTCTCAACATAGTTCAAAACCCTTTTGTAAGTGATGATATCGCTATTTAGTTCATCCCTAAAGGACTGAGGGTTCTGGGAATTTAACCATGTCAATGCAGTATTTTTATCTTATTAACTGAAGAAAAATGGGTGCCCTTTACAGATGTTTTAAAGATTAGGAAACAAAAAGAAATCAGAAGGAGTCAAATCAGGACTGCAAGGTGGATACCTAATGATTTCCTATTAAAGCTCTCACAAAATTGTCCTTGTTAGATGAGAGGAATGAGCAGGACCACTGTCATGGCAAATAAGGGCTCTCTGGTGAAGATTTCTTGGGCATTTTTCTGCTGAGGCTCTGGCTAAGTCTCTCAAACACTCTCATAATAAACAGGTGTTATCATTCTTTGGCCCTTCAGAAAGTCAAAAAGCAAAATGCCTTGAGCATCCCTAAAAACTGTTGGCCATAGCCTTTGCTCTTGGCTGATCTTCCTTTGCTTTGACTGGACCACTTCCAGCTCTTGGTAGCCATTGCTTTGATTGTCTTTTGTCTTGAGGATCGTACTGGTAGAGCCGGGTTTCATCTCCTGTTACAATAACCCAAAGAAAGCCCTCAGCATCTCGACCCCACTTGTTTAAAATTTTCATTGAAAATTATTTTTTTTGTCTGCAGCTGATTTGGGTGTAATGGTTTTGGCACCTATTGAGTGGAAAGTTTACTCAACTTTAATTTTTCAGTCAGAGTTAGCTAAGCTGAACTACTTGAGACATCTGTGGTATTGGCTACTGTTTGTGCTCTTAACCAGCAGTCAGTTAAGGCACAAACAAGATTAATTTTTCCCTGGCGAACTGATGTGGATAGTCTGCTGCTACAGGCTTCATCTTCAACATCATCTCGTCCCTTAATCAATGTAGTTATTCATTTGTAAATGCTGATTTCTTTGGGGCATTGTCCCCATAAACTTTTTTTTAAGTGTCAATGATTTCATCGTTCTTCCACACAAGCTTCACCATAAATTTGATATTTGCTCTTGCTTCAGTTTTAGCATAAACCACATTGCCAATAAGGGCTCTTTCCAAACTGATGTCTTATGCTTCTTAATGCCTCAAGTTAGATCTTATTCAGAAATGTTATAACAGGTAGGTACTACTTGTTTTGGCACAAATGTTTTTTTTGAAATCTATGCATAGTTTTTTTCATAATATGCATTTTCCATGAACTTTGTGAAGACCTCCTGTATATGTGGTCCACCCTTGACTAAAATATCATTATGAGGCACAGGACTGTATATGTCTGTATGTATAGGAGTTTCTTTCAATATAAATTGATATCAATCTCTATTTACACATATAACTATATCTATATATAATGAGTAACTTGTACAAGTTAATAAGAGAAAGGCAGGTATTAGCAGGACCTGTGAAAATTTTTTCACGAAAGGGACATTTCAATTTTAAACAATGCTTAAGTCTACTCATCTATTCCAGAGTACAAATTATTGCAATTAATTTAATTGAAAAAAATAAATAAATCTCTTTGTCAACTATTTGGTAACATAGAACTTTAGAATTCAAGACATTGCTTTAACTAGATTAACAACTTAGATCAGTTTCCAAGAATTTACATGTCACTGAAAGGGATTATCAGTATAAACATTGTAAACAAAATTATATTCTGCTGATTAACTTACATGGTTTTCCATAAATGGGGCTTAGAGACAGAGCGATACTTGGCAGAAACAGCAACATCTGTCGTTAGGTTGGGGCTTTTACTTTTTTTTCATATTGTTGCTCTACTCAAGCAATCTGTCTTTTGGTGAGAAGGTGTTGATTTTCTTGGCTTATAATAAGCTTACTATCATGCAGCAGGCCGTCACAAAGCGAATGTGGAAATTTATAGGTCATGCTACTCTCCAAAGATATAGATAATGCAAACATTACTAACATATACATGATAAGAACAAGAAGTATAAGGGAGGAAAACAAAATCCAAGTATGTATAAAAGACCATTATTACGTAGTTTGGTCTACATAATCAAAAAGGTACAATGACTGAAAGAAAAGCAATTCACAAAGGAAATGAAAACAAACAGACTTAAGAATCTGAGCTATTTTATTGTTCATTTCAGGTAAGGGATGACATGCTTGCATTCTTTACATGAGTGTTTATGATCATGTAAAGGAACAAATGTGAAGGAATAAATCTTTTCAGAATTTCATTTAATCTTGATTACTGAAGTGCCTACTATTTTTTTCTGCCTTCTTAATTTTCCTCAAACTGCCTCTTTCATTTGTTTATTCTGTCAAGTTACATTAGTTAAAATGCTACCTATTTATTTAAGTCCTACCACAACTGCCTTCTTTCCTTGTGTTAGCCTACAAGCATTATTACAGTGTTTACCACATTCCAATTTAGTGTCTGAAAATATCTGTTCAGCACTAATTATGTGCCATGCACTCTCTAAGTGCTTTTTCAGAGTGCTCTCAGTTAACATTCTGTTTCATGTCCTTCCTGTTTGATAATCTGATACCCTCAATTAATTGTTCATAACTTAAAGGCAGGGATCACATCTAATTTATTTAAGAACATTCTGTCTGCTTCTTATCTAAATGCAATACAGATTTGTTAAATGAGTTTGAGTTTCTAAAAACAAATAGGTTTTTCCATGTCATAAAGGAAAAAGAAACTGCCTCCATTCTCATACTCCCTCATCTCCTGGGACTGTCATTCTCAAATGTAGTTCTGCTCAAAATTACTACCTCTATTTCTTCTCTATTCTGTCAGAGAAATGCAGAAATGCATAACTCATCCTAGAAACACAAACAAGTACTTTGGAATCCAAGAGCCACTACATCACACAGAGAAAGAAAAGGACCCATAGATTTTATTTTCTTTCTTTCTTTTTTTTTTTTTTTTTTTTTTTTGAGGCAGAGTCTCGCTCTATTGCCAGGCTGGAGTGCAGTGCAGTGGCATGATCTCGGCTCACTGCAACCTCCGCCTCCCGGGTTCAACTGATTCTCCTGCCTCAGCTTCCTGAGTAGCTGGGACTACAGGCACGTGCCACGAGGCCCAGCTTATTTTTATATTTTTAGTAGAGATGGGGTTTCACCATGTTTGCCAGGATGGTCTCGATCTCGTGATCCGCCCACCTCAGCCTCCCAAAGTGTTGGGATTATAGGTGTGAGCCACTGTGCCTGGCCAAGGACCCATAGATTTTCTAGGTAAATCATGGAAGAATTTTCTTTTTGTGACTCATGTAAAACTAGAAATCAGAAAATGTCTCCTTAGATAACAAAATGTAACTCTTATCAGAACTTTTACGATTTGAGAAGAAATAAAATTATTTTATCACGCAAAATAATCTATAACACGCTAAAAAGTGTTTAGGTCAAACGCTTTGGATCTGCGGAAGGCTCTGTCAGACTAGTTACATAGTCTGAGACAAGATGCTTAGCCTTTTCTCCACATCAGCATCTCCATCTAAAAGAGAGATATTGGATTAAATTCCAATACCTAAATTTCCTTCCAGCTATAGTAGATGCCATTAAAAGGTACTTTCTTATTGTTACTATAAAAACTATTCTTCCTTTTTAAAAATTATACTTCTGTTTCTTCAGTCCTTAATACCTATGCTGCTTTTATAAATGTATTAGTCTTGTATGTTCCTTTGTCTACAATACACGTTCCAACATATTTATACTGTATATTAGAAATTTATCAGTTCCATTAAGCAGTTTAACTCTAATAAATATAATTCTCACAGAGTATTGAAGGAAAAAGGAAACGATGTACAACTTACCCTGTTCTCTGCTGAAGCTCATCAAGGCTGAATGGCTGAGAATAGCTGGACATTTACATAATTAATTTCCTTTATTATTTAAATTGCCCTAAGTAATTGCCTTAGAATAACAGTCATTTTGTACATCTCGTTTTTCTGCTACAGCTTTATTGAAATGTAAATATGAAAACTTGATTCTTTAAAAGCACAATGCAGAACCAATTGGTGCAGTTGCCCATTATTAAGTATTAATGGAGACAAGAGACGTGGACAAGATAACATAGTGAACCTGTCTTTCTGCCTCTTTTATCTTATGTATTTGTGGAATGAAAATTATTTAGAAAAAATATGAAAAAAATGTTTGCAATATTTTATCTGAAAAACCTTTATGTCTCTTTTCTTTTTTGATTGAGACTTTCAGAGAGACCCATTCTGTAGTTTTAGATCTTCTAATCCTGTGGGACACAGGATCTGTCGTCTATAGCTAATAAAACCATGAGATGTGTTAACACTGACAATATGACCTGCAATAAATACTGTGGGATCTAATTTACATATTTTTAGAAAAAGCTGAATAAAAAATGAGAGTTTTTGTAGTTATGATACCACAAAATTCAGAAAAAAAATCTTTAAAAAGTAAGCATGAATGTTGTGCCTCTGAAAATGGTATAAAGAGTCCAGAAATGAATGGAAAGAGTATAAGTATGTCATCCCTTACTTGGAAGGGATGTAAAGTAAAAGGAAAATCCACAGGCATTCACACAGTTAAGGACCTAAGAGAGATCCTGAATGATAAAGTTACCTAAGCTGGTTTCCTTATAGCCTATGATATTAATTTATTTCTTCTACTCATGGACAAAATAAAGCCTGTTATCTATTTATGTATTTATTTTTATTCAGCTATTAAGCCACGTGGGTTATGGAATGTTTACATGTTTATTTTCTGAATGTATTTCATCTCAAGCTCTATATCAGTACTGTTTTCTGGAATAACCTACACATTCAGATTTTGAGTCAAATACACAATGGTAAAGTATTTTGGAGGTATCAAATAATTGTCCTTAACGGACAAGAAGAAAAAGTTCTTTCGCCATCACACAGTATAGTCTGAAAAAATTCCCCTAAGAATTCTGAGTCTCATATCCATGACATTAAACCAAGAGTCACAGATTTATGGACAAAATCCTGGGGTTCTGTCATTTCCTACTAACTGAGTGACTTGAATAAGACATAAAAATACTTTGTTCTTAAATTTTGTAGATAGATTTTTAGATTTAAATTTGTAATTTTTTATTTGCTCTTATCTTTATGAAGTTGTCATAAGGCTCACATGAATTGATGTATATGAAGACACTTTATCAAACTACAAAGTTTTATAAACATTTAAAATATTTCTCCTGCTATTAACATCTTTCCTATGAAAGATTCAAAATATGCATTAATATAATAATTGTAACTAATTTCATTCATCATTAACTATATATTCTTAACAGTTTTCTTATATTGATTTACTTAAACCTCAAAGTAAACCTATGAGTACATACTATTGTTATTATTATTTACTGATGAATACATATTCAAAGTGTCCCCAATCATTGTCTATTTCTTGAGATTTCTTATTGTTCATATCCTTGAATTGTAATTTATTTTATTGTAAGTCAACTGAAAATCACTTATTAGGAATGAAACAACCAGAGTGCCAATGAAGAAAAAAACACTCATGTTATTACTTTTACTGCACTGGATAATGAAGATGGGCATAGAACCACAAAACTCTTAAAAATGTAACATGTGACCTTATTCACATTCTACTCTCTAAGTTGTAGTGTGAGAACTGCAGAAAAACAGTAAAGAAAATCACCACCAACAAAACCAGACACAGTAAGAATAGCATTTGAAAAGGTTAGGTCACCATAAAATGTCCAAATCACATCATAACCTCACACGCTTACTTCCAAATTATCTTTTCTCAGCAGGATGGAAATAGAGATCCAAACTGCATAACCTTTCATCCACCACCACCACTGCTATGCTGCAGAAAAGGCTTAAGTAACTTAATTTTTCTCACAAAACCTGATGTTGATATTTGGCAGCTTCTAATCTGGCTGGGTGCCCTGACATGAATTGCAGATTCTCTGTGCTCCTTTTGAGAGGAGTTTGAGGAGGATAAAAGCAGATGCAGACAAACGCAGATGGAGACCAGAAGCCAAATAACATGAGGCTCCTCACTACAACAGAAGTGAGTTTGGCAGCCTCACACTGTTTTAAGGAAGAAAGGTAATTTTCTATAAAGTAATTAGTCACTTAAACCATTGCTGTAGTTTTATTTTGTTTTCGTTACTTTAGGAAACGTCCTTTGAATGTAAGCTAAAATTAAGTGGTTGTTTTTGGTTGTTAGTGGTTTTGATTGTCAATTTTAAAGACAATAATGGAATTTTAGAGTTGAAACTAATGTTTAAATCAGAATGTATCCTAACTGATCTCCACAACTTAGGTCAGTGTTGACCTTTTCAAACAGACATTACAAACTGAAAGACTGTGGTAGTGTTGTACCCAGGCGAGTTAGAGAAAACGCCACACTTTGAGACGAATTAAGAGTCTTTATTAGCCAGCGACCGAGAGACGGCTAACGCTCAAAATTCTCTCGGCCCCGAAGAAGGGGCTAGATTTTCTTCTATACTTTGGTTTAGAAAGGGGAGAGGGGTCTAGTTAAAACAATTTTACAGAAATAAAGTAGGCAAAAAGTTAAAAGGATAAATGGTTACAGGAAAGTAAACAGTTCCAGGTGCGGGGGCTTTAAGACTATTACAAGGTGGGCCGGGCGCGGTGGCTCACGCCTGTAATCCCAGCACTTTGGGAGGCCGAGGCGGGCGGATCACGAGGTCAGGAGATCGAGACCATCCCGGCTAAAACGGTGAAACCCCGTCTCTACTAAAAATACAAAAAATTAGCCGGGCGTAGTGGCGGGCGCCTGTAGTCCCAGCTACTTGGGAGGCTGAGGCAGGAGAATGGCGTGAACCCGGGAGGCGGAGCTTGCAGTGAGCCGAGGTCCCGCCACTGCACTCCAGCCTGGGCGACAGAGCGAGACTCCGTCTCAAAAAAAAAAAAAAAAAAAAAAAAAAAAAAGACTATTACAAGGTGATAGACGCGGGGCTTTGGGCATTATCAATCAGACGAATTCCTGGGAATTGCAGATATAGCTTGCCACAGTATCTTATCAATTAATTGCATTCTTGGATGTGCTGGGAGTCAGCTTGCACAGGTTAAGTCCTTGAGGAAGGGGCTGCCAGTGAGAGAGCCAAGATGGAGTGTGTCTGGCTCTCTTAGCTAAGGGAGAGTCAATTCAGGTGGAAACAAGCCCAAAAACAGGGTTAGTAAAAACGAGGTTGGGCATTACAGTAGCCTGGTCTGGAAACTTTAAACTTATTTCTAAGTTACTTGATTTTTCTGGCTAGGGCTGCATTGCTTATATTTAACCCCCTATTCTTACAGAACAGGAGGCTCTCATACCTGTTCCTGAATGTCATTCCATGAGTAGTCAACAGTTTTCCCTAAGAGTAAGTCTCTATTCACTTGCTATTTCTTTGGGAAAGGAGTGGCATTTCTTTTTCACATACATTTGGAAGGTTTTCAGTGTACTTTCTGGCCTCTCTACACCATTTTACTCATTCTGCCTTGGGAAGGTAGAGTGTTTTACTTCAAATACGTATTGATATGCTCCATTGTTCTTATCTACAGAGAATAGCTACTATTAATTTATTTCCTGAATAGTGTATATTACACAAGGTCCTGTCTCTCCCTGGGACATATGCAGCTATGAGCCATTAATTTCAGAGTCCTTAAACTTTGGTGTACTTGTTAGATATTCTAAATCATAAAACAAAAATGGTAATTTAGGGAAATGATTAAGGCTACTTCTGTGCAGAGGATGTATGGCATTGAACCTTGGATTTTAGTATGTGGGCAGAGTCTTTTAACCTTAGGAGAGGCTTAGTTTTATCCAGGTGATATTTTTACAGTTGAACATTTGGTTTTTATTCCTGAGGCTTGGGAAAGATATTTAAACAAGCTCTGTAGTAATTGCAGGGACCTAAGCAAAGGCATCACCTTAAGGAAAGATGCCTATAGTTTCAGGAGAAGGGCTAGATATCTCTAGGCTTGGTAGTGATTTGGACCTAAGAAAGAATCCATAAAGGGCCACTTAGGGCATTTCAATGCTCTGCAAGACAGACCTTGTGGGGCTTAACAGCCAGTAGAACCCAGCCGAGGACTGATAAATAAAGGCTGGCAGCTGGGGGCTTAGCAAACAAAAATCATGGAAATTGAAACTACTCTCTGAAAACGTGAAATTACTTGTGACCCTGCAGGCTAACATCTGTAACTTTAGTTGGTACAGGTTGCTTCCACATGCATGCTTTCTCTGCTTATTTCACAAGATTATGTTAAACCCTCTACATCTTCAATGTATTTTCCTAAAGTTCCTTTTCATCTTCTTATGCTGGGTATGCCTCAAATATATTGTTCCCTTTAGTATGTCTCTCAGCTGAAGGCTTTTAGACAGCCACAAAAACAGTGAGTGTAGACTTCTCCATTCATTACTGCATTTTCAAAACTTTTATCCTTTTTTTTTCTACAAAAGATTCCATTTCACTGGAGCACACGATATTAGACTATACCACCTTCTATCTTACATGCTATCCCAGCTTCTTGTTCTCTCTCATTTAGACTATAAAACCCTTGGAAACTGGACCATAATATTCCTCTTTACCTCTATTGCTTTTACACCTCATTATAGTTTCAAACTACCCATGGATAATTAGTCCAGAAATGGATCACTCATCAACTTTGATCTTCTTATCTCCAAAAACAGTTTCCTCCTAGCACCTCAGCCTTCATCCTCATGGTCATACCTCAAAACCTTTATGCTTGGCAATTGCAATGGCTCAGAAATCTGAACTGTCTCATTTTAAAAGCATACGTCCTATATTTTTGTCTCATTTCCCTACTTGGCCAAGTCATATAGAAATTCAACTTGATAGCTCTGCCAGCACAATTTCATTACTATCACCCCTTATATTTTTATTTGTCTCATTATTCGGCTTAGATTCTGGTTCACTGTAATACCCTTGAAATTGTTCTTTACGTTTTTTACTCACCCTTCATTGCATTGACCTGAAAAAATGTCCGACGCTGATTCTCTCTAACAATGTACTTTTCCTCGCCTATGCCAGAACAGCTGAACATGGCCAGTGGTATTGCTATTATTAACACAGATAGCAGTATATGTTAGAGCTATCTAAATATGTACTTATATTAACTCACTTTGTCTCTACACAGAACCCAAGCACTGCTAATATTTTCATTTTACAGCTGATAAAGGAGAAACAAAAGAACATTTAACTTTCCCCAAATAACGAAGATTTTTTTTTTCAAACATGGGATCTAAACTCATGTGGTCTGACTCGGGACTCTGTCCCCTCAGTTTACCATTATTCTGCCTCTACACAAAATTTTGGGTAATATCACTATACAATTACCCAAAGTGTAGATAAAGACTCAAACTTTCCAGCAATCCTACATTTTCCTGATTTCCATCATAACTAGATTTTAACTTCTCCTTGCTCTGCTACCTACAATTGCCCTCACGTCTCCTACTGCTAGAAGAAAAATCTTTATAGATCTCAAAGAAAATATATATTTTCAAGAGCTCTGACATTATCGCCTTATCACAAATACAATTGTACCTAGTCTACGCACATAATGCCTGCCTTCTTTCCTATTAAAAAATATGTTTATGAAAGATTAAATTATCCATATCTGCTCAGAATTTCATCCTGTTTTTTCCTATCAAGGAATTTATTCTGATCTCCATTCTCTAAGCTTTAACGCTTTCAAAAATGAGAGCCCATCTTTTAATTTTAGCTATTCTAGTGGGTGTAAAGTGGTATCTCGCTGTTGTTTGAGTCAATGTTTCCCTGATGACAAATGATATTGAGTTTATTTTATGTGCATATTGGTCATTAACATACCTTTCCTTGCAAAATATCTGTGAATTATTTTGTTCATTTTTTATTGGAAGTTTGTTTTGTTGTAGTTTATTTAGTTTTTAAAGTTTTCTTAAATATATTCTGCATATAGGCCGTTTGATAGTTATGTGTTTTGCAAATATTCTCTCCAATTTGCAGCCTAACTTTTCATTTCCCAGCAGTGAGATGTGAAGAACAGAAGGTTTTGAATATACCATTCAATATATGCATTTTAAATTTATTGGCATATTATATTTATGTCTACTGTTTTATTAGCAGATGTGTTCTTATTTTAAATATTTTTTAATTCAGGAAATATGAATTCATAGTAACACATTCAACCGGTCTAAAATCAAGTCAAATTTTCGTTGGTATTTGTGTAAACTATGTGACCAGAAACAAATCATTTATCTTTACTTAGCAGCAGTTTTATCAACATTAAGTTAGGGATATTAATAACTAACATCTATGGAGCTAAGCTTCTGATAAGAGTTTTATAAACATTATTTTTATTTAACCCAAAAATTATATGCTAGAATTAAGTACAATTACAATTCACATTTTTTAAGAAATGAAATCGAAGAATTAATGTGGATAAATTGACCAAATGTAGCGAAAATATTACCAAGTAGCAAATGAGAGATTTGAATATAGGTAATAGCAACATTGCTCCTGGTTCCTTCACAAAGATTTATTGGAGTGGTTATATATGATATGGTGTGACAGTGCTTTGAATTTTCTGAAGTTTTATATTTTTTTGACTTGTTTCATAACTATGCTTTAGAGTTCCTCATATTTCCATACCATTTAAATTACAATTTCAGACTTTTTTTTTTTCCTTTAAGTTCTGGGATACATGTGCAGAACGTGCAGGTATGTTACATAGGTATACGTGTGCCATGGTGGTTTGTGGCACCTATCAACCCATCATCTAGGTTTTAAGCCCCACATGCATTAGGTATTTGTCCTAATGCTCCCCCTCTCCTTCCCCCCTACCCTCTGACAGGCCCCGGTGTGTGATGTTTCCCTTCCTGTGTCCATGTGTTCTCACTGATCAATTCCCACATATGAGTGAGAACATGCGGTGTTTGGTTTTCTGTTACCGGGATAGTTTGCTGAGAATGAAAGCTTCCAGCTTCATCCATGTCCCTGCAAAAGACATGAACTCATTTTTTTTATGGCTGCATAGCATTCCATTGTGTATATGTGCCACATTTTCTTTATCCAGTCTATCATTGATGGACATTTGAGTTGGTTCCAAGTCTTTGCTATTGTAAATAGTGCTGCAATAATCATACATGTACATGTGTCTTTACAGTAGAATGATTTATAATCCTTTGGGTATATGCCCAGTAATGGGATTGCTGGGGCAAATGGGATTTCTGGTTCTAGATCCTTCAGGAATCACCACACTGT
Organism: Homo sapiens; assembly: GCF_000001405.40. NCBI lineage: Eukaryota > Metazoa > Chordata > Mammalia > Primates > Hominidae > Homo > Homo sapiens. The sequence goes on from NC_000013.11 coordinate 69,466,904, forward strand.
CTTCCGCAATGGTCGAACTAATTTACACTCTCACCAATAGTGTAAAACCATTTCTATTTCTCCACAGCCTCGCCAGCATCTGTTGTTTCCTGAATTTTTAATAACCGCCATTCTAACTGGCATGAGATGGTATCTCATTGTGGTTTTGATTTTCATTTATCTAATGACAGTGATGATAAGCTTTTTTTCCATATGTTTTTTGGCCACATAAATGTCTCTTTTGAGAAGTGTCTATTCATATCCTTCACCCACTTTTTGATGGGGTCGTTTGTTTTTCTCTTGTAAATTTGTTTAAGTTTTTTGTAAATTCTGGATATCAGATCTTAGACAGACAGACTGCAAAAATTTTCTCCCATTCTGTAGGTTGCCTGTTCACTCTGATGATAGTTTCTTTTACTGTGCAGAAACTCTTTAGTTTGATTAAATCTCATTTGTCAATTTTGGCTTTTGTTGCAATTGCTTTTGGTGTTTTAGTCATGAAGTCTTTGCCCATGCCTATGTCCAGAATGGTATTGCCTAGATATTCTTCTAGGGTTTTTATGGTTTTGGGTTTTACATATAAGTCTTTAATCTATCTTGAGTTAATTTTTTGTATAAGGTGTAAAGAAGGGGTCAAATTTCTGTTTTGTGCATATGGCTAGCCAGTTTTCCCAGCATCATTTATTAAATAGGGAATCCTTTCCCCATTTCTTGTTTTTGTCAGGTTTGGCGAATATCAGATGGCTGTAGATGTGTGGTCTTATTTCTGAGGCCTCTGTTCTGTTCCATTGGTCTATATATCTGTTTTGGTACCAGTACCATGCTGTTTTGGTTACTGTAGCCTTACAGTATAGTTTGAAGTCAGGTAGTGTGATGCCTCCAGCTTTGTTATTTTTGCTTAGGATTGTCTTGGCTATATGGGCTTTTTTTGGTTCTACATGAAATGTAAAGTAGCTTTTTTTGAAATTCTGCAAAGAAAGTCACTGGTAGCTTGATGGGAATAGCATTGAATCTATAAATTACTTATGGAAGTATGGTCATTTTCACAATATTGATTCTTACTTTCCATGAGAATGGAATGTTTTTCCATTTGTTTGTGTCCTCTTATTTCCTTGAGCAGTGGTTTGTAGTTCTCCTTGTAGAAGTTCTTCACGTACCTTGTAAGTTGTATTTTTAGGTATTTGAATCCCTTTGTAGCAATAAAATTTAAGTTTTTGAGGTGAATACAACTCTTTATTTTTCTTTTCACTTGACATAACTGCCTGATGCTTAATAATGTGTCTTTTGCACAATACACCACAAAATTATGGTCAGTTATTTTAAGATCCAACCTTTGAAACAGAAATGTTGACTTTTCTATTTTCTCTTGGAAATCATCAGAAATTTCATAGTATTTTAATGTTATTGCTTTGAATTAAAATTATTAAATCACTATTAGTTAAGAATGAAAAATGATTGCTGAGTCCCCAACTGTTCCATAACTTAACCTACTACCATAATTATCTTGGTAGTGTAGAGTAGGATTTGCCTCTAGGGGATGCCAAAGTCTATGTAAATTTTATCTCATATAATATAAATGAAAACATACCTTTATTAATGGACAAACACCCAATGAACATGATTTTACAGACAACAAATTCTGAATATTCCAGAGGTAGCCTTCTATAGCTGAGTAAATGTTGTACCTTTTTTACAGGAGTTGTCCAGCTCCCTGTAGTCCATAGAATACATCTCACTTAGTCCTGGCCCCATGCCCAAAGGAATTTATTTTTTCTTAGCAAAACATGTAGGCATTTCCTTTGTCAGAGAATAAACCATATCAGTAGCTTT